>NC_000007.14:150367470-150518985 GCF_000001405.40 Homo sapiens | reverse complement strand
CTGTGAAGCAACACCTCATACCAATGGGAAAGATGATGGACACTTTTATTAGCAACACTGAAATAACTATACCACCATATAATTGGATGCAATTTTAAAGATAAAATTGCCTCCAATTCCTCATATCATACAAATTCCAAATAGATCAGAAATTTGAATGCAAAAACTATCCCATATAAATAATAAGAGAAACACGGGTAAATTTTTTGTAACCTGGGAGTGGGGAGGATGTTAATAACTAAGATTTAAAATAGTATAAGGAAAAGACTGATAAGTTTGATTACACAAAAATCCAAAAAATTATGTAAGGCATACAACACCATAGGCAAATTAAAACACAAATATCAAACTAGGAAAACATTTTTTCCGATTTATCTCAAAGAGGGCTACTTTTCCTACTGTATGAAGAATAGCTAAAAGTAAAGAAACAAAAGACCAATGACTTGATAGAAAATCGGGCAAGATATGAACCCACGGCCAAAGAAAAAAATATATAAATTATCCTTGAATACATAAAAAGATATCCAAGTTCATTCACAATAGAGAAAAATAATTAAAAACATAGAAAAAATAAAAAATTCTCAGAGATCACTATTTCTCTACTATAGGTATGGCAAAAATCCATTTCCCAGCATAATCTGGTGGTAAAGGTATGGGGAAAACAGATAATTTCTTGCATGACTAGTGTGAAGGGGAAAACAACCTAACACCTATAGAGGAGAAGGTGGCAATACCTTGAAAAATTACACATGCATTTACTCTTTGATTATCAATCCCGATTTTAGGATTTATCCCAGAGCTGCACTGACAAAAATACAGAAAGGAATGATGCCCATCAGTGGGGACCAGTTGAATAAACTAAGGAATATTCATACAGAAAAGTACAATCCAACTGCAAAAAGGAATGAGAAATATATCTATATACCAGTATGAAGAGATCTCTGTGATATACTGCTAAGTGAAAAAAAGCCAAGTGAAGAAAATAATGTATAGTTTACTATCATTTATATAAGAAGAAGGAATATTAGTTTTATATATATAAATAATTTTTATGTGCATGTGAAAAAGCAATGGCAGAACCATTTGAAAACTAAACAAAAGAATTATTTATATGAAGATGAGAGAAACAAGGTACAAGGGACAGGAACAGAAAATGGTCATTAGACTTCTTTGAATATCCTTTGTTTTTGCAAATTTGATCTTGAGAACATTTAAATAGTTTACATAATTATACAATAAAAATTATATTTTAAAACACCAGTAAAAGTTAAAAGAAACGGAACAAATAAACCTAACTGTATCTTGTGTCAAGGATGAACCACACAAAGATTTGTCCTGAAAGGCTTGAAAATGTAGTATTAATAATTTCACTGTGTGTGTGTGTGTATGTGTGTGTGTGTGTACTGTTTTGAAGTCCATCTAAAAGGCATAAACCATGGTCAGCCAAGTAGCAGTGAGTGCACTTAATGCCCAGATTGTGATCTTCAAATGGTATTTCCCACAAAAGAAATTAGGACTACTAGGAAAAAGTACTGATTCCAGGTCTGGGCCAGTAAACATACAAGTTTAGCCTACAACATCTTTCATACTAGAAAGTAGGGATGCTATAAAAAATTACTTAGTTTTATCAGAAGGGCTTGGAAGCTACCTTAAAGAGGTTCCAACTGGACAAAGATGGAATAATTTGAGCATCATTAATAAAGATTATTCCAATGGATTAAAATATACCAAATATATTGAAATCCAGTAGTTGATAACAACACCATCTTCCTGAAAGAAGTTAATTGCTCCCTTTGGAGTATGCTAAGAAAGTGACTCATCATTCTGAACATTGACAACTAAAGGGAAAGAAGCATTTATTTTGTCTTTCATACATCTCATCTTTTAACTATATCTCACAAAAATGAAAGAATCACTGAATGAAAGTTCCTTTGTGTATGACTATTCCATCTAATAAATAAATAAAGAATGATAGAATATCATCTTTTGGTAACTTTTAATGAAACAAATTCATTCTAGACAATCATTAACATCTGCTAACATCACAAAAAGAGAGGCATTCAAACATATGTGCCTTCTAATAGAAGTTTAGGATAGCATCTATGAAGTATTCCCACTAAAAAAACAAAGTCAAACTTTAATCTGATCCAACCTCCCCATTCATATAAATTCACACAAAACACTGGAGCTAGAAGCGAATGTTAAATGACATTGTTAGGATGCAATCAGCAGTATGAATACTGCCCAGTTCTGTTGGACAAAAGACCTTCCCTTCCTTAAACAAAGAAATTTAACACAAAGAAACAAGGAAGGTGAAAACCTACACATTAAGTGAAACATAAGAGATGTCAAACAATTGTAATGTATGAATTTTACTTAGATCCTACCTCAAACAATTTTAAAAATTATGAGATCTTCAGGGAAATCTGAATACAACTGGTAGTATTAAAATTTATAGTTGCCTTTTGAAGGCTGTTTATGAAATTGTGGAAATGTTTTTAAATGGTCTTTATCTTTCAGAGACACATACTCAAATATTTACTGATAAAATGATGTAATGTCTGACATTTGCTTCAAAATAATCTGTGATAGAGTTGAGAATAGGAGCAGATATTTGAACAAGACTGGCATAAATTGATAACTGTGAGATTTTAATATAGGTACATGGAAGTTCCTTATATTGTTTTTACCTTTGAATAAGTATAAATTTTTCACAAATAAAAAAATTAACCCATGTATAGTGTAACCACTATCGAGCAGAGACTGCATATCAGAACACCCTGATAAAACATGTTTTGTATATCTCGTTTATTCTTCAAAAATACTCTACAGTGAAACTAATTTTATTATTCTAATTTTTTAAATGAGGAAGCTGGTGTGGCTCAAAAATTCTGGGAAACATGCCCCTGGTCACTGTGCTAAGAGGTATTGGGCAGAGAAGACATTCGATTCAAAGTCTGTCTGAATCTACCATGCTCACTCTTAACCGTGCACTCTACTGCCTGTTCTTGGCTACTCTCAGGCCATGATTCTAAATTTTCATTGACATGGCACAGAGATAGACCAGTGGAGGGCAAAGGAGATGATCCACGCTTTCTGCAAAAAGGTGAGCTGGGAGCCAGCCTGTTATAAGGGAACCGTGAGGAGGGCTCCGCATTTCTCGTGGACTTTTCCATCTCTCTCATATTGAGAAGCCAAACGTGAGAGAGATGGTCAGAAATATCACTTTAAAACTTTCTCAAGTTTTAAAACTTTCTCAAGTGGTTCCTGGAAGATCCAGAGGACCTCCAGCTAAGAGAAAGGCTGAGAAATGACAAAAGCATTTACAACAGAGGTGAACAGTTCTAAACTGTGGCCAGACCCACCGGTTCTAGAAAATTTCGTAGCTCCTTGAGATCCAGTTCCCTCTGCTATAAAAAAGGAAAATAAAACCAATCTTGCAGGGTTGTCCTTAGGCTTTCATAGAGTGATTTCTATAAAGGTCTTTTATGGCAACTCTTTTTGTACTGAATGGCGCAGCAGCCCCACATGTTACACTGTTAGGGACACAGCTTGTCTCTGCTTAATGCTGGAAAAAGTCAGCAGACTGAATTCTAGTGTTCCTCCGCCATGAGTGATCTGGGTACCCCTTGGAGAATCATCAAAATCTCTGGGATTGGGATTCTGATTCTTTTTCTGTAAGAAGAGGGACTTAGACAGGTGGACTCTAAATTGCCTGTCACCTTTACAAATCTGTCTTAGGAGCCCTTAATTTCTTATGAAGGTTATCAGGCAACACTCTGTGTCTATCACAACAGCCAGTGAGTGGAGGGTGCACTATGCAGCCATGTGTGTCCTGTTACATATGAGATGCATGGGCTCCATGCAAACAAATCTCCTCACTCCCCTTCTACTCACCCCTCCCACAGCACCTTCTATGCAGTGCTGCTTAGCACAGTGCCTTGTCCCTCCTAAGGGCAGAGTCCACTCCAGCCACACACCCTGTCCCCACTGCCCTTCGCAGCCCAATAGCACCAGACCCTCTTCTCAGCCAGGCTCACCTTCTCTTGAACAAGTTGAATTTTCAGGTTTTCTCCAAGGAGGCTGCTTGAGCTGTTGCTTTTGCTTTTACTGTGAGTTAAAAGTGTCTGTACCGCCACCAAAACCTCTCAGTCAGGAAGCTCAGGCTGGGTGGAGCCACACACACAAAAATGTTTGTCTTTAAAGAAACAGAAATACGGCTCCATAATCTGGTGATTGCTTCAGTTTTGCCCGGTTGAAACGTTTTGCCCATGGGCCTGCTATAAACACCATTTCCAAAGCTACATTTTTCGCTTCAGGTTATAGTGATGGATGCAAAAGAGCCTTATTAAATGACCCAAATATTGCCTAGAAAACAAGGCACAGGACCTGATTGTCTTCCCAGGGTGGAGTGGGAGGCTGAGGGGTGATTTGGGGAAGAAGAGAGACAGGCATATACCTTGCCATTTCCAAGCGTAGAGCTGGGGGTTCTTAGTGATTGTATAATATGGGTTTTTTATTATAGTCTTTCAGGAAGGCCTCAAGTTACTCATTCAAAAGTTAACAGCACTGAGGCTCAAAGGCAGAGTCTAAATCATTAGGAACCAAGGGAAAAAAAGGAAGGTGACGCCTGGAAAAATAATCTGCCCATGAACACATAGTTTCTCTAGTTGCTTTTCGTATAATTCTTCCAAGTTTGAAAATATGCATGACCTAACAAGTAAAGATGCACCCAAGGAATAGATCCTACATCCCTTCCCCACCTTCCTCTCTACCCCACATCTTCCTACCCCAGTCTCAGGCAGAGACAGATTTTCCAGAATTTACCCAGTGGATGGTTCCAATCTGCTCTGGAGGTTTCTTGAGGTGAGAGGCAGGTTCCCAAAGCTCTCACGGTTGACCAGATATTCCAGTTGGCTACGTAAGAATACTATGTTTAGAGTTCCAAGCCCACAGCCCCTGTCGCGGCCTTGCCACCCTCCAGCGCCCCACGCCAGGAGTGGGCCTAGAGCGCTCGCCTTGCCCCTCTGTGATCCGGGCTCCGGCACCCGCCCAGGTCCGCACCACTGGCAGCCTGTAGGGAGTCGCTGGCCGTCGTCGCCGCTAAGTAGGATATATCTGCATCTTCAAAGGAAGATAAAACAAAAGCCTTCTTTGGAATATTTGGATTTTTGTCACTTTCTGTGAGCTTTAGTTCAAGAACACAAGTTGAATCACTCAAACATGAAAAACAAGTCTGAAACCAGTATCCATCAATACTTGGTCGAAGAGCCAACCCTTTCCTGGTCGCCTCCATCCACTAGAGCCAGTGAAGTAGTATGTTCCGCCAACGTTTCTCACTACGAGCTCCAAGTAGAAATAGGAAGAGGATTTGACAAGTTGACTTCTGTCCATCTAGCACGGCATACTCCTACGGGAACGCTGGTAACTACAAAAATTACAAATCTGGAAAACGGCAATAAAGAACGCCTGAAAGTTTTACAGAAAGCCATGATTCTATCCCACTTTTTCCGGCATCCCAATATTACAACTTATTGGACAGTTTTCACTGTTGGCAGCTGGCTTTGGGTTATTTCTCCATTTATGGCCTATGGTTCAGCAAGACAACTCTTGAGGACCTATTTTCCTGAAGGAATGAGTAAAACTTTAATAAGAAACATTCTCTTTGGAGCAGTGAGAGGATTGAACTATCTCTACCAATATGGCTGTATTCACAGGAGAATTAAAGCCAGCCATATCCTCATTTCTGGTGATGGCCTAGTGACCCTCTCTGGCCTGTCCCATCTGCATAGTTTGGTTAAGCATGGACAGAGGCATAGGGCTGTGTATGATTTCCCACAGTTCAGCACATTAGTGCAGCCATGGCTGAGTCCAGAACTACTGAGACAGGATTTACATGGGTATAATGTGAAGTCAGATATTTACAGTGTTGGGATTACAACATGTGAATTAGCCAGTGGGCAGGTGCCTTTCCAGGACGTGCATAGAACTCAGATGCTGTTAACAGAAACTGAAAGGTCCCCCTTATAGCCCATTGGATATCAGTATTTTCCCTCAATCAGAATCCAAAATGAAAAATTCCCGGTCAGGTGTAGACTCTGGGATTGGAGCAAGTGTGCTTGTCTCCAGTGGAACTCACACAGTAAATAGTGACCGATTACACACACCATCCTCAAAAACCTTCTCTCCTGCCTTCTTTAGCTGGGTACAGCTGTGTTTGCAACAAGATCCGGAGAAAAGGCCATCAGCAAGCAGTTTATTGTCCCATGTTTTCTTCAAACAGATGAAAGAAGAAAGCCAGGATTCGGTACTTTCACTGTTGCCTCCTGCTTATAACAAGCCATCAATATCACTGCCTCCGGTGTTACCTTGGACTGAGCCAGAATGTGGTTTTCCTGATGAAAAAGATTCATATTGGGAATTCTAGCTAGGGCTGGCAAATCATCTTATGTCCTATATACTTGACACTTTCTCCTTGCTGCTTTTTCTTCTGTATTGCTAGGTACAAATACCAGAATTATACTTGAAAATACAGTTGGTGCACTGGAGAATCTATTCAAATCACTCTGTTCAAAGGGGCATCAGTTTGTAGTCCCTTTGGTTCACACAGAGTGCTATGACAACTCCAAGGAAACATCAGAACTACTAACCTAGCTAGTTAGTGTTATTTATTCAGGAAATTTTTCTAAGCTGTGGCTAACTGTCTTGATCTCTCAATATAATTTTTGAGCCAGTTAATTTTTTCAATATTTTGCTGTCCTCTTGGGAATGGTCCTTCAAAGGATAGTGCTTCTAAGTACATCTTCTTCTCCCAGATTGTCTGGCCTTTTTAATGAGCTATTGTTAAACCAACAGGCTAGTTTATCTTGCATCAGACCCTTTTATGGTAGAGGGAAAATGTCTTTACTTTCCCTTTTTCTTCTGTTAATACTTATGGTAACATCTAACTCAGCCTCACTCACATTAAGTGATTCGCTTGAAATGTATTAAAAAAGAATACTGTGTTTAAAAATAAAAATAAAAAAAGAACATTATGTTTTTGATTTTGTGTGTATGTGTATGTGTGTGTGTGCACAAAACTCGGGGCTTTTCTTCTGCCGCCATGATGCTAAATCAATGCAAAGCTTAACTTATTAAGATAGTGCACAAATAATAACAGGAGATGAAAGGTATAGTACTGTCCTAGCTCTTACACAGATTATGTAACCTTGGAGTATCAGCTTCCTATTGCTATCATGACAAATTACCAAAAATGTAGTGGCCTAAAACAACATAAAATTTTCCTCTTACAGTTCTGGAAGTCAGAAGTCCAAAATGAGTGTTATGGGGATAAAATCAGGCTAATTAGCAGGGTACCTTCTAGAGGCTCCACGAGAGAATCTGTTCCTGGCCTCTTCCAGCATCTCTATGCTACTAGTGTTCTTTGGCTTGTGGCCACGTCGCACCAATCTCTCCTGCCATCTTCACATTGTCTTCCTTCTTTGACTTTCTTGTTTCCCCCTTAGAAAGATCTTTGTGTTTACATTTAAACCCACCTAGATAATCCAGGATAATCTCCTCACTGTGAAAGCCTTAATTTAATCACATCTGCAAAGACTGCTCTGCTATATAAAGCAACAGTCACTTGTTCCTCCCAATATCAAGTCTGTATTAGTTTCCGGGGCTGCTGTAACAAATTACCACAAACTGGGTAGCTTAAAACAAGAAAAAATTATCATCTCACAGTTCTTGAGGCCACAAGGTGTCAACAGGGCCACACTCTCTCTGAAGACTCTAGGGGAGGATCCTTCCTTGCCTCTTTCTGGCTTCTAGTGGTTTCTGGCAATCCTTGCTACTCTTTGACTTGTAGATGCATCCTTCCAATCTCTGCCTCCAGAGTTACACGGTTTTCTCCCCTGTGTGCTTATTCAAATTTCACTCATTTTCTAAGGAAAAAAGTCATTGGATTAGAAGAGCTTGCCCCACAGCCTCATCTTAATTTGATTACATCACAAAGACTATTCCCAAATAAGGTCACATTCTCAAGTCCTAGGGGTTAGATCTTGAACATTTCTTTTAGTGGATACAATTCTAAATTGTGATAGAAAATTGGTGGTTAAATAAGAAAGGACAGTGTATGCATTTTGAGAGTGAAACACCCTAGATCTCTTCCTTTGCAGTCCCAGTTGCAATGAATTGGTGAAGCCCATGCGGACAGTCCATGTCATGGTAGTTGGGAAGTTCTTACTGCATAAGGTTTAGCATCCTTATTGCTTAGCCTGGAATTCAGCTATTGTTACAGTGTTTCAATCTTTCTTTCTGGGCCAAATCTTCCTCTATTCCTCTCCTTGAGAGGCAACTTAATGTTTCAGTGCAGCTCTGCTTACCTAAAATTCCAATCACAGTTCCTGTTAATACCTATTTTACATAGCTGAAGGAGACAGAGGTATAAAGGCAGTTTCTGAAATAGCACAGGTGCTCAGCAAATGCTTTTAATGATCCTGTCTTAGTCTGTGTGGACTGCTATAACAAAATACTGTAGAATGAGTAATTTATAAGCAACAGAAATTTGTTTCTCACAGTTCTGGAGGCTGAGAAATCCAAGATCAAAGTATTGACAGGTTTGTTATCTGGTGATGGTGTGTTTCCTGATTCATAGATGGTGCCTTCTTGCTGTGTCCCCACATGGTGGAAGGGGCGGGGAGCCTCTCTCTAACCTGTTATAAGGGCACTAACTCCATTCACGAGGGCTCCACCATGATGACCTAAGTACCTCCCAAAGGCCCTACCTCTTAATACCATCACTTCAGGATTAGGTTTCAATACATGAATTTGGAAGAGGATACACAAACATTCAGACCCCAGCAGATCCCTCCTCAAGTCATTTAATCTTCTCTGTGTCTCATAGTCCCACTACTGAGGCTTTGCTTGTGGTATTTCTCTGTGTTTCCTGTTAAAGTAAAATTAGGAAAAAAAAAAAAAAAGCAAGGTCATGACTTTCATGCAAATTTAAAATACATGCATGTAAAAGATTTTACTTAACTTATTGATTAACGAGAAAACCAGTAAGACATTATAATTAGTTCAAAGGACATTTGAGAATCTTGGGTAATTTGTAGGGGGATAAGATTTCCCTTGTGCCCATTTAATGACTGTTCCTAAGATAGTCATTGTATTAGCCCGTTCTTGCACTCCTATAAAGAAATTCCTGCAACTGGGTAATTTATAAAGAAATGAGGTGTAATTGGCTCACAGTTCCACAGGCTGTGCAGGAAGCATGATGGCTTCTTGGGAGACCTCAGGAAACTTTCAATATGTTGGAAGGAAAAGGGGAAGCATGCACATCTTACAAGGCTGGAGCAGGAGCAAGAGTGGAAGGCGGCAGTGCTACACACTTTTAAACAACCAGATCTCATGAGAACTTACCCACTATCGCAAGAACAGCATCAAGGGATGGTGCCAAACTGTTCCTGAAGGACCACCCCCATGACCCAATCACCTCCTACCAGGCCCCACCTCCAATATTGGGGATTACAATCTGGCATGAGATTTGGGCGGGGACACAGACCTAAACCATATCAGCCATAAAATGTAATTTTGGGGTATACGTTCTGCCAGACAAAAAAATTATTTACTTGTCTATAAGCAAAATTGCAAGTTACCTCTCAACAGAGTTGAGTATCTTAGACAGTAGTCAAGCCTCGCATCACACAGAAAGAATACCCAATAATGCCTTTTGCTTATTTCCACATGTTGGATCATTTTAATGTCATTTTCTACCTTGTGATCATACATAATCTCCAACAATTATTCTTGATCCCTCAATGCCATTATTATGTACAGCTTGGTTATTTACATATATACAGCAAGAGTTTTAATTAGCCAGATAGGCCTTCCTAAGCTTGCTCAGGAAATCCAGAGCCTAACAGCATTAAATAACTACCAATGCCAAAGAATGAACTTCTATTTGGAAATTTTCAAAATGAATCTTGAAAAGTTCTATTATTTGTTTTTCTATCACAAATGTAGAAAACCAAGACAAAGACACTTTTTCCAATAGATTTTTCATGCAGTTCTTATAAATGTAGGTGAATTTTCCTTTTTTGTGAGGTCTCCAAAATTTGCAGAGGTTCCCAGCGTGACAGGTAGTGGACTGACTTACTGCCTGTGAGACGAGGAGCCTAGATGACAGCTACCATGTTAATTTTCTTGGGAGGGTTTTGAAGGGTTTTGGAGGCATTAGCCTCACATAGAATGTTAATCACTATTCCTCAGTAGTGGCCTTATTGTACCTGATTAAGTGAAAACCACTCTCAGACATCACACTCTAGATATGGCCCTAGTGCCGGTGTCCCTGGGTGCCTTCATCACCCATCATCTATCCGACGGTCCAGATAGAAGACAAACTGGGTCAGGCCCAATGTCTGTACCCACATTGATCCCTGCCTGAAGGAAGGTATGTTTTGTAGCAAAGGCTTATGATTTTGCCTTTTTTGAAGACTTAGGAGGGAAGTGTTTTCAGATACACAGGCAGAGGAGGAGCTGCTGAACCATGAATCAACAGCATCTGAGAACTTTCATATCTGCTAATAAGGCACAGTCCTTTCTTGGAATTGGAGGCTGAGGCTGTCTGCAGTGCATAGGTAACATGAGGTAAGTGCTTTCCAAGCCCGCCAACTCTGTCTCTCCCTTTAGGGCCTTCAGTTCTATTTATGTATCTGGACACCTATGATGTGAAATTGTATAATACGTGAGCTTAAGGAGACCAAACCACGATCCTGGGACTGACATCAAGAGTATTACCATTACCATTACTATTGCTGACACCACTGCTACTAGCTGACACTTGCTGATCACTTACTGTATGCTGAGTACCCTTCTCACCCCTTTATAGATACTACAGGCACACCTCAGAGATATTGCAAGTTCAATGCCAGCAACTGCAATAAAGCAAATGTAACTATAAAAAGAGCCACATGAATTTTTTGGTTTCTCAGGGCATATAAAAGTTATGTTTATACTACACCGTAATCTATTACATGTGCAATAGCATTATGTCTAGAAAACAATATATGCGCTTTAATTTAAAAATACTTTATTGCTAAAAGATGCTAACAATCCTCCGAGCCTTCAGTGAGTCATAATCTTTCTGCTGGTGGAGGGTCTTGCCTCAGTATTGATAGCTGCTGATTGATCAAGATGGTGATTGCTGAAGGCTGGGGTGGCTGTAGCAATTTCCTAAACTAAGATAACAATGAGGTTTGTCACATAGAATGACTCTTCCTCTCACAAAATGTTTCTCTGTAGCATGTGTGATGCTGTTTGATCGCATTTTAAGCATAGTAGAACTTGTTTCAAAATTGAAGTCAATCTTCTCAAACCCTGCTGCTGTTTATCAAGTTTATTTAATATTCTAAATCCTTTGTTGTCATTTCATAATGTTCACAGCATCTTCGCCAAAAGTAGTTTTTTTTTTTTTGAGATGAAGAAGGAGATTTTATTTATTTTTTATTTCAATAGGTTTTGGGGGGTTGGGTAGTGTTTGGTTACAGGGATAGGTTCTGTAGTGGTGATTTCTGAGATTTTGGTGCCATCACCTGAGCAGTGTACACTGTGCCCAGTGTGTAGGCTTTTATTCTTCACCTCCCTCCCACCCTTTCCCCAAGTCCCCAAAGTCCATTGTATCATTCTTATGCCTTTTCATTCTCATAGTGTCATTTCCATCTCAAGAAATCAGTTTCTTTTCTCATCCATAAGAAGCAGCTCCTCATCCATTCAAGTTTTATCATGAGATTGCAGCAATTCAGTCACATCTTCAGCCTACATTCTTCTTTTGTTGTTGTTAGAGACAGGGTCTCACTCTGTCACCCAGGCTTGAGTACAGTAGTGTGATCATAGCTCACTGCAGCCTTGAGCTCCTGGGCTCAAGTGATGCTCACACCTCAGCCTCCCAAGCAGCTGGGACTACAGGCACACACCACCATGTCTTACTAATTATTTTTTTTTTTGTTGAGACAGGATCTCACTGTGTTGCCCAGTGTGGTCTCAAACTCCTAGTTTCAAGTGATCCTCCTGCCTTGGCCTCCCAAAGTGCTAGGATTACAGGCATGAACCAACACACCTGGCCTCCACTTCTAATTCTACTTCTCTTGCTACCTCCACCACATCTGTAGTGATTCCCTCCAATGAAGTCTCGAACCCCTCCAAGTCATCTATGAGGGTTGGAATCAACTTCTTCCAAACTGTTGTTAACATTAATATTTTTATCTCCTCTCATGAATCATGAATGTTGTTAATGGTATCTAGAATGGTGAATCCTTCCCAGAAAGTTTTCAATTTACTTTGCCCAGGTTTATCAGAAGAATCACTATTTATGGCAACTATAGCCTTATAAAATATATTTCTTAAATAATAAGGCTCAAAAGTCAAAATTATCCTTGATCCATGAGCTGCAGAAGGGATGTTGTATTAGCAGGCATGAAATCTCCTTGTATATCTCCATAAGAGATCTTGGGTGACCAAATGCTTTGTCAATGAGCAGTAATATTTTGAATCTTTTTTTCTAAACAGAAGTATCAACAGTGGGCTTAAAATATTCAGTAAGCGGTGGGGGGGTCAGCCCCCCGCCCGGCCCGCCGCCCCGTCCGGGAGGGAGGTGGGGGGGTCAGCCCCCCGCCCGGCCAGCCGCCCCGTCCGGGAGGTGAGGGGCACCTCTGCCCGGCCACCCCTACTGGGAAGTGAGGAGCCCTTCTGCCCGGCCACCACCCCGTCTGGGGTGTACCCAACAGCTCATTGAGAACAGGCCATGATAACAATGGCGGTTTTGTGGAATAGAAAAGGGGGAAAGGTGGGGAAAAGATTGAGAAATCGGATGGTTGCTGTGTCTGTGTAGAAAGAGGTAGACATGGGAGACTTTTCATTTTGTTCTGTACTAAGAAAAATTCTTCTGCCTTGGGATCCTGTTGATCTATGACCTTACCCCCAACCCTGTGCTCTCTGAAACATGTGCTGTGTCCACTCAGGGTTAAATGGATTAAGGGCGGTGCCAGATGTGGTTTGTTAAACAGATGCTTGAAGGCAGCAGGCTCCTTAAGAGTCATCACCACTCCCTAATCTCAAGTACCCAGGGACACAAACACTGCGGAAGGCCGCAGGGTCCTCTGCTTAGGAAAACCAGAGACCTTTGTTCACTTGTTTATCTGCTGACCTTCCCTCCACTATTGTCCTATGACCCTGCCAAATCCCCCTCTGCGAGAAACACCCAAGAATGATCAATAAAAAAAGAAAAAAAAAAAAAAAATTCAGTAAGCCGTGCTATAAACAGATATGCTGTCATCAGGCTTTGTTGTTCCATTTATAGAGCACAGGAAGAATAGATTGAACATAATTCTTAAAAGCTCTAAGGTTTTTTGGAATGGTAAGTGAGCATTGACTTCAACTTAAAGTCATCAGCTGCATCAGCCCCTAATGAGAGAGTCAGCCTGCCCTTTGAAGCCTTGGAGCCAGGCATTGACTTCTCCACTCAAGCAATGAAAGTCCTGGATGTATAATCTTCCTACAAAAGTCTGCTTTGTCTCCATTGAAAATCTGTTGTTTATTGTAGCCACCTTCATCAGTGATCTAAATTAGATCCCCTGGATAACTTGCTGCAGCTTCTCCATCAGCACTTGCTGCTTCGCCTTCCACTTTTATGTAATGGGGACAGGTCATTTCCTTAAACCTCATGAACCAACATCTGCTAGCTTCAAACTTATTTCCTGCAGCTTCCTCACCTCTGTCAGACTTTATAAAATTGTGGGGTCCTTGCTCTGAATTAGACTGTGGCTTAAGGGAATGTTGCGGCTGGCTTAATCTTCTATCCAGACCAATAAAACTTTCTTCATATCAGCAGTAAGGCTGTTTAGCTTTCTTATCATTCATATATTCACTGGAGTAGCACTTTTAATTTCCTTCAATTACTTTTCCTTTGCATTCAAACTTGGCTAATTGTTTGGTGCAAGAGGTCTAGCTTTTGGCCTGTCTCAGCTTTTCACATACCTGCCCCACTAAGCTTCATCATTTCTAGCTTTTGGTTGAAGGTGAGAAATGTGCAACTCTGCCTTGCATTTGAACACTTAGAGGCCACTGTAATGTTATTAACTGACTTGATTTCAATATTGTTGTGTCAGGGAATAGGGAAGCCTGAGGCAAGGGTGAGAGACAAGGGAACAGCTGCATGGTGGAGCAGTCAGAACACACAATGATCAACTAGTTCATCATCTTGTAAGGCGCAGATTGTGGCACCCCAAAACAATTACAATAGGGACATCATAGATCACTGATCCCAAATCATCAGGACAGATAATAGTGAAAACGTTTGAAATACTGTGAGAATTGTCAAAAAGTGACACAGACACAAAAAAGTGAACACTTGCTGTTGGGAAAATGGCACCAACAGACTTGTTTGATGCAGGGTTGCCACAAATCTTCAATTTGTAAAAAGCGCATCATCCACAAAGTGCAATGAAATGAGGTACAATAAAGTGAAGTGCACCTGTACATCCTTCCTCATTCCTCATCCCACACATCTGGCCCAGATGGAACATGAAAGTCTCACTGATGAGAGAAGCAGCTGTGGCTTTCTCCGAAGGTCATTTTAGACACTACCTGAGACTGTTCCTCGGGGACTTTTCATTTGCCAGGTCTCTCTGACTCTGCAGGTGCCTTCAACCCACTCCCTTTTACTTTACCCTTTCCAAACTCAGATCCTTTTGCAGAAGTATTTAACTTTTGTCATCAATTTATATACACCAAGACCAAAAAAAGTGTTACCTTTAAAGACAGACATAGGAAATTAAGGTGTGCAAACAGACCTTTGAATCCTATGAGGAGCAGGCAGACAATTGAAACAGGAAGAGCTGAGCAGGTTATAAGGCCACCTCTGCCTAAAAGCATGTCCCAGTCTCACCAGCAGGAGCCAATTGCCTACTCTTACAGAATTCCCAATTTATATCAAAACAACTGTTTTATCACTAAAGAGGAGGGTTTTATCCCTTAAAGTAAAACAAAACAAGCTTTAATGCAATTGAATATACAGGGGCCTTCTCCCTGGGGCACACTGTCAGCACAAGATTACTAACTTTATCTGAGTTGTTTAAGAGTAAACAGTATCTTTCTGTCAGCCCCATGACACCTGTTTTGTTCCATGACCTTCAGTAGTAGATTCTCATGTTAGCATATCAGTACTGGATGTCTCCCATTACTATACAAAATGCAGTGTCAGCGGAAAAGTGTGTGCGTCTGATTCTGCCACTAGTAATATCTACGGCTTTGAAGGGAAAACATAATGTTACTAAGCCCCAGTATCTTTAGGCCTTACCAAATTAGTACAAATTCCCAGACTCTCTCAAATCATGAGCCCTGGCCCACCTACCCACAGTACTTCTCGGATGTTGGTCAGAACGTAGTTACAAACCTATAAGGTGGTATGTTGGTCAGAATATAGTTATAAACCTACAAAGTGGTGCAGAGAACAATAATCCTCAAAGGGAGACCACAAGGGACAGAACAGTCCTGGGACTTCTCTTGAAGAGTCCGACACGAGGGAGCAATATTAGCACAAGCCCTCTTCTCCCAGTGCTATCGAGTCCCTGTGGTCATATGAGTAATGTGCAGACAGTTACAGATACCAGCTTTATTTGTTACTTGGCACAGAACAGCCAAGGAAGCATGAAGCAAGGAAGCAGGTATTTGTCTTCCATAGGTTTCTGCTACTCTCACCACATCCTAGATTCCTTCCATACTTGCCTACACAGTCTTTATAGCCCCACCCCTCTAAAACCCAGGATTTGCTTATACGCTCCTGAATTCTTCACCATTCCATAATACTAATGGTGGAAGCAAAAGATGCTTAGCAGAACAGAAATTGGGAAAATAATTAAGAGGTTGCCATAGCCACCAGATAGCATTCAGTATCTTACCCTCTCTCTAGAATTTATAATTAGGTTTGTGCAATTTCCACTATTATCTTAATTTCCTCATTTTGTTTTCAATTTAACTCCCTTTCTTTTTCTGTTTCCCATAATCACTTACATCCTCAAGAAATGAGCTATAAGTTGATTTATTGTAAATTCACTCATTCATTTAAGAAACAAATGCATCCTGCCTCAGCCACAGCCATTTCCTGCCTTACCTCCTCCCCATTCTGTTTTACCCATCACTTAAAGCTGTGGTCATATCACAGGCTAGAAAGGTTATGCTACAAGGCCCATGTCTCCATCTTTGCATCTGCTAAAGTATTCAGAAGAAATTTGAAAGAGACAGACAGGGCCAAGAAGAAATATCACCATGGAGATTGCTTTCAACTGTGCTCTGTCTCCTCCTTTGGTCCCTCTTCCAGTTGGTGCTGGCCCAGAGATGAGGCAGAAGAGTTTTCCTCTGAGTCTCCAAACCCACACCAGTGCCTTACTCAGAGGTGCAATCATTATCATTTTGGACTCTGATGTGAGCTAAACAAAATAAAAATTGCTGTCAATTGGAACAGGTGCTTATGTGTGTTGCTACTTTTCTAAGTCCTAACAATGAAGTTCTGAAAACTTACATAGCTAATAAACAGTGGAGCAGGCTCAATGTTTTTTAATTGTTTGTTATGAAGAAAGATAATTTGAAAATAGTATTTAAATGACACATTTCTAAGCTGTGAAATATTATAAATGACTATCTGGAAATATAAAGAGGCATCAGCAGTTCTCTTTTTTTATTGTTATATATTCTTATTTTTTAAATATACTTTAAGTTCTAGGGTACATGCCCACAACGTGCAGGTTTGTTACGTATGTATACATGTGCCATGTTGGTATGCTGCACCCAACAACTCGTCATTTACATTATGTATTTCTCCTAAAGCTATCCCTCCCATATCCCCCACTGCACGACAGGCCCCAGTGTGTGATGTTCACCGCCCTGTATCCAAGTGTTCTCATTATTCAATTTCCACCTATGAGTGAGAACATGTGGCATTTGGTTTTCTGTCCTTGAAATAGTTTCCTCAGAATGATGGTTTCCAGCTTCATCCATGTCCCTACAAAGGACATGAACTCATCCTTTTTTATGGCTGCATAGTATTCTGTGGTATATATGTGCCACATTTTCTTAATCCAGTCTATCATTGATGGACACTTGGGTTGGTTCCAAGTATTTACTATTGTGAATAGTGCCACAATAAACATACATGTGCATGTGTCTTTGTAGTAGCATGATTTATAATCCTTTGGGTATATACCCAGTAATGGGATGGCTGGGTCAAATGGTATTTCTTGTTCTAGATCCTTGAGGAATCACCACACTGTCTTCCACAATGGTTGAACAAATTTATACTCCCACCAACAGGGTAAAAGCATTCCTATTTCTCCACATCCTCTCCAACACCTGTTGTTTCCTCATATTTTAATGATCACCATTCTAAATGGTGTGAGATGGTATCTCATTGTGGTTTTGATTTTCATTTCTCTGATGACCGGTGATGATGAGCATTGTTTTCATGTGTCTGTTGGCTGCATAGATGTCTTCTTTTGAGAAGTGTCTGTTCATATCTTTGCCCACTTTTGTATGGGGCTGTTTGATTTTTTTCTTGTAAGTTTGTTTCAGTTCTTTGTAGATTCTGGATATTAGCCCTTTGTCAGATGGGTAGATTGCAAAAATTTTCTCCCATTCTATAGGTTGCCTGTTCACTCTGATGGTAGTTTCTTTTGCTGTGCAGAAGTTCTTTAGTTTAATTAGATCCCATTTGTCAATTTTGGCTTTTGTTGCCATTGTTTTTGGTGTTTTAGTCATGAAGTCCTTGCCCATGCCTATGTCCTGAATGGTATTGCCTAGGTTTTCTTCTAGGGTTTTTATGGTTTTAGATCTAACATTTAAGTCTTTAATCCATTTTGAATTAATTTTTGTATAAGGTATAAGGAAGGGATCCAGTTTCAGCTTTCTACATATGTCTTGCCAGTTTTCCCAGCACCATTTATTAAATAGGGAATCCTTTCCCCATTTCTTCTTTTTGCCAGGTTTGTCAAAGATCAGATAGTTGTAGATGTGTGGTGTTATTTCCGAGGGCTCTGTTCTGTTCCATTGGTCTATAACTCTGTTTTGGTACCACTACCATGCTGTTTCAGTTACTGAAGCTTTGTAGTATAGTTTGAAGTCAGGTAGCGTGATGTCTCCAGCTTTGTTCTTTTGGCTTAGGATTGTCTTGGCAAGGCAGGCTCTTTGTTGGTTCCATATGGACTTTAAAATAGTTTTTTTCAATTCTGTGAAGAAAGTCATTGCTAGCTTGATGGGGATGGCATTGAATCTATAAATTACCTTGGGCAGTATGGCCATTTTCACGATATGAATTCTTCCTACACATAAGCATGGAATGTTCTTCCATTTGTTTGTGTCTTCTTTTATTTCATTGAGCAGTGGTTTGTAGTTCTCCTTGAAGGGGTGCTTCACATCCATTGTAAGTTGGATTCCCAGGTATTTTATTCTCTTTGAAGCAATTGTGAATGGGAGTTCACTCATGATTTGGCTTTCTGTCTGTTATTGGGGTATAGGAATGCTTGCGATTTTTGCACATTGATTTTGTATCCTGAGACTTCACTGAAGTTGCTTATCAGCTTGAGGAGATTTTGGGCTGAGACGATGGGGTTTTCTAAGTATACAATCATGTCATCTGCAAACAGGGACACTTTGACTTCCTCTTCTCCTAACTGAATACCCTTTATTTCTTTCTCTTGCCTCACTGCCCTGGCCAGAACTTCCAACACTATGTTGAATAGGAGTGGTGAGAGAGGGCATCCCTGTCTTGTGCTGATTTTCAAAGGGAATGCTTCCAGTTTTTGCCCATTCAGTATGATATTGGCTGTGAGTTTGATATAAATAGCTCTTATTATTTTGAGATATGTTCCATCAATACCTAGTTTATTGAGAGCTTTTAGCATGAAGGCTGTTGAATTTTGTCAAAGTCCTTTTCTGCATCTATTGAGATAATCGTGGTTTTTTTACCTTGGTTCTGTTTATGTGATGGATTACATGTATTGATTTGCGTATGTTGAACCAGCCTTGCATCCCAGGGATGAAGCAGACTTGATCTTGGTGGATAAGCTTTTTCATGTGCTGCTGGATTCATTTTGCCAGTATTTTATTGAGGATTTTTGCCTCGACGTTCATCAGGGATATTGGTCTAAAATTTTCTTTTTTTGTTGTGTTTCTGCCAGGCTTTGGTATCAGGATGATGCTGGCCTCATAAAATGAGTTAGGGAGGATTTCCTCCATTTCTATTGATTGGAATAGTTTCAGAAGGAATGGTACCAGCTCCTCTTTCTACCTCTGGTAGAATTTGGCTGGGAATCCATCTGGTCCTGGACATTTTTTGGTTGGTAGGCTCTTAATTATTTCCTCAATTTCAGAGCCTATTATTGGCCTATTCAGAGATTCAACTTCTTCCTGGTTTAGTCTTGGGAGGGTGTATGTGTCGAGGAATTTATCCATTTCTTCCAGATTTTCTAGTTTTGCATAGAGGTGTTTATAGTATTCTCTGATGGTAGTTTGTATTTCTGAGGGATGGGTGGTGATATCCCTTTTATCATTTTTTATTGCATCTATTTGATTCTTCTCTCTTTTCTTCTTTATTAGTCTTGCTAGTGGTCTATCAATTTTGTTGATCTTTTCAAAAAACGAGCTCCTGCATTCATTGATTTTTTGAAGGTTTTTTGTGTCTCTGTCTCCTTCATTTCTGCTCCGATCTTAGTTATTTCTTGCCTTCTGCTAGCTTTTGAATGTGTTTGCTCTTGCTTCTCTAGTTCTTTCAATTGTGATGTTAGGGTGTCAATTTTAGGTGTTTCCTGCTTTCTCTTGTGGGCATTTAGTGCTATGAATTTCCCTCTACACACTGCTTTAAACGTGTCCCAGAGATTCTGGTACGTTGTGTCTTTGTTCTCATTGGTTTCAAAGAACATCTTTATTTCTGCCTTCATTTCGTTATGTACCCAGCAGTTATTAAGGAGCAGGTTGTTCAGTTTCCATGTAGTTGTGTGGTTTTGAGTGAGCTTCTTAATCCTGAGTTCTAATTTGATTGCACTGTGGTCTGAGAGACAGTTTGTTATAATTTCTGTTCTTTTACATTTGCTGATGAGTGCTTTACTTCCAACTACGTGGTCAATTTTGGAATAAGTGTGATGTGGTGCTGAGAAGAATGTATATTCTGTTGATTTGGGTTGGAGAGTTCTGTAGATGTCTATTAGGTCTGCTTGGTGCAGAGCTGAGTTCAAGTCCTGGATATTCTTCTTAACTTTCTGTCTCATTGATCTGTCTAATATTGACAGTGGGATGTTAAAGTCTCCCATTATTATTGTGTGGGAGTCTAAATCTTTTTGTAAGTCTCTAAGGACTTGCTTTATGAATCTGGTTGCTCCTGTATTGGGTGCATATATATTTAGGATAGTTAGCTCTTCTTGTTGAATTGATCCCTTTACCATTATGTAATGGCCTTCTTTGTCTCTTTTGATCTTTGTTGTTTTAAAGTTGTTTTTATCAGAGACTAAGATTGCAACTCCTGCTTTTTTTGCTTTCCATTTGCTTGGTATTACTTCCTCCATCCCTTTATTTTGAGCCTATGTGTGTCTCTGCATGTGAGATGGGTCTCCTGAAGACAGCACACTGATGGGTCTTGACTCGTTATCCAATTTGCCAGTCTGTGTCTTTTAATTGGGGCATTTAGCCCATCTACATTTAAGGTTAATATTGTTATGTGTGCATTTGATCCTGACATTATGATGTTAGCTGGTTATTTTGCCAGTTAGTTGATGCAGTTTCTTCCTAGCATAGATCGTCTTTACAATTTGGCATGTTTTTGCAGTGGCTGGTACCGGTTGTTCCTTTCCATGTTTCATGCTTCCTTCAGGAGCTCTTTTAGGGCAGGCCTGGTGGTGACAAAATCTCTCAATGTTTGCTTGTCTGTAAAGCATTTTATTTCTCCTTCATTTATGAAGCTTAGTTTGGCTGGATATCAAATTCTGGGTTGAAAATTCTTTACTTTAAGAATGTTGAATATTGGTCCCCACTCTCTTCTGGCTCATAGGGTTTCTGCTGAGAGATCCACTGTTAGTCTGATGGGCTTCCCTTTGTGGGTAACCCGACCTTTCTCTCTGGCTGCCCTTAACATTTTTTCCTTCATTTCAACCTTAGTGAATCTGACATTTATGTGTCTTGTGGTTGCTCTTCTCAAGGAATATCTTTGTGATGTTCTCTGTATTTCCTGAATTTGGATGTTGGCCTGCCTTGCTAGGTTGGGGAAGTTCTCCTGGATAATATCCTGGAGAGTGTTTTCTAGCTTTGTTCCATTCTCCCCGTCACTTTCAGGTACACCAATCAAACGTAGATTTGGTCTTTTCACATAGTCCCATATTTCTTGGAGGCTTTATTTCTTTTTACTCTTTTTTGTCTAAACTTGTCTTCTCACTTCATTTCATCAATTTGATCTTCAATCACTGATAGCCTTTCTTCCACTTGATTGAATCAGCCACTGAGGCTTGTGCATTTATCACGTAGTTCTCATGCCATGGTTTTCAGCTCTGTCAGGTAACTGAAGGTCTTCTCTACACTGTTGATTCTAGTTGGCCATTCATCTACTCTTTTTTCAAGGTTTTTAGCTTCCTTGTGATGGGTTCGAACATCCTCCTTTAGCTCGGAGAAGTGTGTTATTACCAACCTTCTGAAGCCTACTTCTGTAAACTCGTTAAAGTCATTCTCCGTCCAGCTTTGTTCCATTGCTGGCGAGGAGCTGTGATTCTTTGGAGGAGAAGAGGCCCTCTGGTTTTTAGAATTTTCGGCTTTTCTCCTCTGGTTTCTCCCCATCTTTGTGGTTTTATCTACCTTTGGTCTTTGATGATGGTGACCTACAGATGGGGTTTTGGTGTGGATGTCCTTTTTATTGATGTTGATGCTATTCCTTTCTGTTTGTTAGTTTTCCTTCTAACAGTCAAGTCCCTCAGCTGCAGGTCTGTTGGAGTTTGCTGGATGTCCACTCCAGACCCTGTTTGCCTGGGTATCACCAACAGAGGCAGCAGAACAGCAAATATTGCAGAACACCAAATATTGCTGCCTGATCCTTCCTCTGGAAGCTTCATCTCAGAGGGGCACCCAGCTCTATGAGGTGTCAGTCAGCCTCTACTGGGAGGTGTCTCCCAGTTAGGCTACACAGGGTCAGGGCCCCAGTTGAGAAGGCAGTCTGTCCATTCTCAGAGCTCAAACACCATGCTGGGAGAACCACTGCTCTCTTCAGAGCTGTCAGACAGGGACGTTTAAGTCCCTGCAGAAAAGGAGTTTCTGCTGCCTTTTGTTCAGGAGGCTGCCACCTTGCAGTTTGATCTCAGACTGCTGTGCTAGCAGTGAGCAAGGCTCCATGGGCTTGGGACCCACTGAGCCAGGCATGGGATATAATCTTCTGGTGTGCCGTTTGCTAAGACCATTCAAAAAGTGCAGTATTGGGGTGGCTGTGTCCTGATTTTCCCAGTACAGTCTTTCAAGGTGTCCCTTGGCTAGGAAAGGGAAATCCCCCAACCCCTATGCTTCCTGGGTGAGGCAAGGCCCTGCCCTGCTTCAGCTCATTCTCTGTGGGCTACACCCACTGTCCAACCAGTCCCAGTGAGATGAACCATGTACCTCAGTTGGAAATGCAGAAATCACCCATCTTCTGCATCGATCACGCTGGGAGCTGCAGACCGGAGCTGTTCCTATTCGGCCATCTTGGAACTGATCTTCAGCAGTTCTCTTATCCTTTACAAGCATAACACATTTGCATTTAGTGGAAGACCAAGGACTTCCACTAAATATAATATAAATATAATTTATGTATATTATAATATTAATATAATATATTTATATTATTTTATATATAAATATATATAAATATTTATATATATTTATAATATAAATAAATTATATTTATATATATTTATAATATAAATAAATTATATTTATATTATAATATAAATAACCTGGAAGACAATGTCTTCCATAAATATAGTAACCTGGAAGACAATGTCAACTGCTACCTGGGTCCCTATTTAGCAATTTCTTATTGTAATACAAAAAAATAACAATAAACAGGGAAAAATAAACCTCTACTAAATCCATTCAATCAACAGGAAGAAAAGAGGAGTTAGCAATGTGACCAAAGTTTGATCTAAAACCACTGACAGGCTTTCTACTTCCATAGTACATTATAGACATATAACACATAGATTCAATTAGTAATTTTAAAATTACCTACAAAGAAAACCCAGGCCCTGATGCCTTCAATAGTGGATTCCACAAAACTTGTAAGAATAATTAATACTAGGTAGCGTGATGCCTCCAGCTTTGTTCTTTTGGCTTAGAATTGACTTGGCGATGTGGGATCTTTTTTGGTTCCATATGAACTTTAAAGTAGTTTTTTCCAATTCTGTGAAGAAAGTCATTGGTAGCTTGATGGGAATGGCATTGAATCTATAAATTACCTTGGGCAGTATGGCCATTTTCATGATATTGATTCTTCCTACCCATGAGCATGGAATGTTCTTCCATTTGTTTGTATCCTCTTTTATTTCATTGACCAGTGGTTTGTACTTCTCCTTGAAGAGGTCCTTCACATCCCTTGTAAGTTGGATTCCTAGGTATTTTATTCTATTTGAAGCAATTGTGAATGGGAGTTCACTCATGATTTGGCTCTCTGTTTGTCTGTTATTGGTGTATAAGAATGCTTGTGATTTTTGTACATTGATTTTGTATCCTGAGATTTCGCTGAAGTTGCTTATCAGCTTAAGGAGAATTTGGGCTGAGACAATGGGGTTTTCTAGACATACAATCATGTCATCTGCAAACAGGCATAATTTGACTTCCTCTTTTCCTAACTGAATACCCTTTATTTCCTTCTCCTGCCTATTTCCCCTGGCCAGAACTTCCAACACTATGTTGAATAGGAGTGGTGAGAGAGGGCATCCCTGTCTTGTGCCAGTTTTCAAAGGGAATGCTTCCAGTTTTTGCCCATTCAGTATGATATTGGCTGTGGGTTTGTCATAGATAGCTCTTATTATTTTGAGATACATCCCATTAATGCCTAATTTATTGAGAGTTTATAGCATGTAGGGTTGTTGAATTTTGTCAAAGTCCTTTTCTGCATCTATTGAGATAATCATGTGGTTTTTGTCTTTGGTTCTGTTTATATGCTGGATTACATTTATTGATTTGCATATATTGAGCCAGCCTTGCATCCCAGGGATGAAGCCCACTTGATCATGTACAGTAACCAAAACAGCATGCTACTGGTACCAAAACAGAGATATAGACCAATGGAACAGAACAGAGCCCTCAGAAATAACGCCGCATATCTACAACTATCTGATCTTTGACAAACCTGAGAAAAACAAGCAATGGGGAAAGGATTCCCTATTTAATAAATGGTTCTGGGAAAACTGGCTAGCCATATGTAGAAAGCTGAAACTGGATCTCTTCCTTACACCTTATACAAAAATTAATTCAAGATGGCTTAAAGACTTAAACGTTAGACCTAAAACCATAAAAATCCTAAAAGAAAACCTAGGCATTACCATTCAGGACATAGGCATGGGCAAGAACTTCATGTCTAAAACACCAAAAGCAATGGCAACAAAAGCCAAAATTGACAAATGGGATCTAATTAAACCAAAGAGCTTCTGCATAGCAAAAGAAACTACCATCAGAGTGAACAGGCAACCTACAAAATGGGAGAAAATTTTCAAAACCTACTCATCTGACAAAGGGCTAATATCCAGAATCTACAATGAACTCAAACAAATTTACAAGAAAAAAACAAACAACCCCATCAAAAAGTGGGCAAAGGACAGGAAAAGACACTTCTCAAAAGAAGACTTTTATGCAGCCAAAAAACACATGAAAAAATGCTCATCATCAGTGGCCATCAGAGAAATACAAATCAAAACCACAATGAGATACCATCTCACACCAGTTAGAATGGCAATCATTAAAAAGTCAGGAAACAACAGGTGCTGGAGAGGATGTGGAGAAATAGGAACACTTTTACACTGTTGGTGGGACTGTAAACTAGTTCAACCATTGTGGAAGTCAGTGTGGCGATTCCTCAGGGATCTAGAACTAGAAATACCATTTGACCCAGCCATCCCATTACTGGGTATATACCCAAAGGACTATAAATCATGCTGCTATAAAGACACATGCACACGTATGTTTATTGCGGCACTATTCACAATAGCAAAGACTTGGAACCAACCCAAATGTCCAACAATGATAGACTGGATTAAGAAAATGTGGCACATATACACATATAACACCATGGAATACTATGCAGCCATGAAAAATGATGAGTTCATGTCCTTTGTAGGGACATGGGTGAAATTGGAAATCATCATTCTCAGTAAACTATCACAAGGACAAAAAACCAAACACCACATGTTCTCACTCATAGGTGGGAATTGAACAGTGAGAACACATGGACACAGGAAGGGGAACATCACACTCTGGGGACTGTTGTGGGGTCGGGGGGAGTGGGGAGGGATAGCATTAGGAGATATACCTAATGCTAAATGACGAGTTAATGGGTGCAGCACACCAGCATGGCACAGGTATACATATGTAACTAACCTGCACATTGTGCACATGTACCCTGAAACTTAAAGTATAATAATAATAAAATAAAATAAGATAAAAAACTAGTACAAAGAAAGAAAACTACAGACCAATATTCTTCAAGGATACAGAGGTAAAAAAAAAAAACTGTAACAAAATATCAGCAAATAAAATTCAGCAGTATATTAAAAAATTATACATCATGAACAAGTGGAGTTTATTTTAGGGATTCAAGGCTTATTCAATATTTTAACATCAATCAATATGATCTACCACATTAACAAGCTAAAGAAAACTATGTGATCATATTAATCAATGCAGAAAAAGCATTTGATAAAATTCAACACTTAAGCATAAAAAAAATTCTCAAAAAATAAAGAGCATCTACCAAAAAAAAAAACCTTTACAGTTAGTATTATACTTAATAGTAAGAGAATGAATTCTTTCTCCCAAGATTGAAAACCAGGCAAGGTATCTGCTTTTACCACTCTGAGTGCTGTAAGTTTCAGTCAGTGCAATAAAATAAGAAAAGGAAATAAAAGGAAAACAGTCAGACAAGGAAGAAATAAAACTGCATCTATTTTCAAATGGCACCATTGTCTATGTAGAAAATGTCAAGGGACCTATTAAGAAAATCTCCTAAAACTAATAAGTGAGTTTAGCAAAGTGACAGGAAATGAGATAAAAATGCAAAAATAAATTGTATTTCTCTTTTTTAATTTTTTTTATTATACTTCAAGTTCTGGGGTACGTGTATAAAATGTGCAGGTTTGTTACATACGTATACATGTGCCATGTTGGTGTGCTGCACCCATTAACTCGTCATTTACATTAGGTATATCTCCTAATGCTATCCCTCCCCCTTCCCCCCACCCTACAACAGGCCCCGGTGTGTGATGTTCCCCACCCGGTGTCCAAGTGTTCTCATTGTTCAATTCCCACCTATGAGTGAGAACATATGGTGCTTGGTTTTTTGACCTTGTGATAGTCTGCCGAGAATGATGGTTTCCAGCTTCATCCATGTCCCTACAAAGGACATGAACTCATCATTTTTTATGGCTGCATAGTATTCCATGGGGTATATGTGCCACATTTTCTTAATCCAATCAATCATTGATGGACATTTGGGTTGTCCAAGTCTTTGCTATTGTGAATAGTGCCACAATAAATATAAGTGTGCATGTGTCTTTATAGCAGCATGATTTATAATCCTTTCGGTATATACCCAGTAATGGAATGGCTGGGTCAAATGGTATTTCTTGTTCCAGATCCTTGAGGAATCACCACACTGTCTTCCACAATGGTTGAACTAGTTTACAGTTCACCAACAGTGTAAAAGTGTTCCTATTTCACCACATCCTCTCCAGCACCTGTTGTTTCCTGACTTTTTAATGATCGCCATTCTAATTGGTGTGAGATAGTATCTCATTGTGGTTTTGATTTGCATTTCTCCAATGGCCAGTGATGATGAGCATTTTTTCATGTGCCTGTTGGCTGAATAAATGTCTTCTCTTGAGAAGTGTCTGTTCATATCCTTCACCCACTTTTTGATGGGACTGTTTGTTTTTTTCTTGTAAATTTGTTTGAGTTATTTGTAGATTCTGGATATTAGCCCTTGGTCAGATGAGTAGATTGCAAAAATTTTCTCCCATTCTACAGGTTGCCTGTTCACTCTGATGGTAGTTTCTGTTGCTGTACAGAAGCTCTTTAGTTTAATTAGATCCCATTTGTCAATTTTGGCTTGTGTTGCCATTGCTTTTGGTGTTTTAGACATGAAGTTCTTGCCCATGCCTATGTCCTGAATGGTACTGCCTAGGTTTTCTTCTAGGGTTTTTATGGTTTTAGGTCTAACATGTAAGTCTTGAATCCATCTGGAATTAATTTTTGTATAAGGTGTAAGGAAGGGATCCAGTTTCAGCTTTCTGCCTATGGCTAGCCAGTTTTCCCAGCACCATTTATTAAATAGGGAATCCTTTCCCCATTTCTTCTTTTTGCCAGGTTTGTCAAAGATCAGATGGTTGTAGATCTGTGGTATTATTTCTGAGGACTCTGTTCTGTTCCATTGGTCTGTATCTCTGTTTTGGTACCAGTACCATGCTGTTTTGGTTACTGAAGCCTTGTAGTATAGTTTGAAGTCAGGTAGCGTGATGCCTCCAGCTTTGTTCTTTTGGCTTAGGATTGTCTTGGCAATGTGGGCTCTTTTTGGTTCCATATGAACTTAAGTAGTTTTTTCCAATTCTGTGAAGAAAGTTGTTGGTAGCTTGATGGGAATGGCATTGAATCTATAAATTACCTTGGAGTGTATGGCCATTTTCACGATATTGATTCTTCCTACCCATGAGCATGGAATGTTCTTCCATTTGTTTGTGTCTTCTTTTATTTCATTGAGCAGTGGTTTGTAGTTCTCCTTGAAGAGTTCCTTCACATCCCTTGTAAGTTGGATTCCTAGGTATTTTACTCTCTTTGAAGCAATTGTGAATGGGATTTCACTCATGATTTGGCTCTCTGTTTGTCTGTTATTGGTGTATAGGAATGCTTGTGATTTTTGCACATTGATTTTGTATCCTGAGATTTCGCTGAAGTTGCTTATCAGCTTGAGGAGATTTTGGGCTGAGACAAGGGGGTTTTCTAAACATACAATCGTGTCATCTGCAAACAAGCATAACTTGACTTCCTCTTTTCCTAATTGAATACCCTTTATTTCCTTCTCCTGCCTAATTCCCCTGGCCAGAACTTCCAATACTATGTTGAATAGGAGTGGTGAGAGAGGGCATCCCTGCCTTGTGCCAGTTTTCAAAGGGAATGCTTCCAGTTTTTGCCCATTCAGTATGATGTTGGCTGTGGGTTTGTCATAGATAGCTCTTATTATTTTGAGATACATCCCATCAATACCTAATTTATTGAGAGTTTTTAGCATGAAGGGCTGTTGAATTTTGTCAAAGGCCTTTTCTGCATCTATTGAGATAATCATGTGGTTTTTGTCTTTGGTTCTGTTTATGTGATGGATTGTGTTTATTGATTTCCATATGTTGAACCAGCCTTGCATCCCAGGGATGAAGCCCACTTGATTATAGTGGATAAGCTTTTTGATGTGCTGCTGGATTCAGTTTGCCAGTATTTTATGGAGGATTTTTGCATCAATGATGCGAGAGTACTATTATTTTCTAACAGAGGAGAAAACTGAGGCCCAGGGAGCTTAGATGCATAAATAAAGCCACCCATTGTGCAAGATCTGGAACCCTAATCTAAGATGGTTCATTCTCCTGTCCCTTCATGCATCTCTTCAGATCCCAACCCACCTACTTATTAATAAGAGTATGGGAAATTGGGAAGTGAAACCTCATGTCAAAGATTGGTGTGCAGGAATCTGAATTATGAAACACAGTTCTCTTTGGTCATCTGTGCTCAATCTTAAGAAAAAAAGGTCCTTGTAGATGTTTGGAAACAGTATACATTATTAAGAAAGGCATGTTGAAATCTCCAACTATAATTGCGGATTTGTCTGTTTCTCCATTTCTGTCAATTTTCACTTCTTGAATTTTGAAGTTCTGTTATTTTTTGAAGCTGTTAGTTATTAATTAGTTGGATGCACAGCCAGTATTATTGTCTTGTTGATGAACTAATTTTTTAGCATTATTATTATGCTATTTATTATTATGAAGTGTTCTTTATGCCTGATGAAGAGATAGCACTGTTCTGAAGCCCACTTTGTCTGATAACTAATATAGCCATTGTCGTTTTTGTATGTGTAATGTATGCATGATGTATATCTTTTTCAGTTCTTCTACATTTAACCCATTTGTGTTTTTATATTTAAAGTGACTTTCCTTTAGATAGCATACAGTGAAGTCTTGCTTTTTTATCCAATCTGACAATGTGTCTTATAATTGGAGCATTTAGAAATTTACATCTAATATGATTATCAATATGGTTGTGTTTAAATCCATCATTTTGCTATTTGTTCCAACTATTCTTTTTGATGCCAACTTTTTTGTTTATTTTAAGGTGGAGTCTTGCTCTGTCACCCATGCTGGAGTGCAGTGGTGCGATCTTGGCTCACTGCAACCTTCGTCTCCTGGGTTCAAGCGATTCTCCTGCCTCAGCCTCCCAAGTAGCTAGGACTACAGGAGCATGCCACCACACCAGGCTAATTTTTGTTTTGTTTGTTTGTTTGTTGTTTTTTGTAGTAGAGACAGGGTTTCACCATGTTGGCCAGACTGGTCTCAAACTCCTGACCTCAGGTGATCCACCTGCCTTGGCCTCCCAAAGTGCTGGGATTACAGGTATGAGCCACCATGCCTGGCCTTTTATGGCAACTTTTTAAAATTTCATTTTATTCCCACCATTGCTTTATTATCTGCACCTTATTTTATTCTCTGTAACATCACATTCTACCGTCAGTAAATATTATGTCACTTCATCTATAAGACCTTTATAATATTATACTTTCACTCCCTTCTTTCTACCTTCTGCATTATTGCTGTCAAACATTTTACATTTACATAAAAGGTACATTCAATGAAAATGGTTTCAAGAATCTATCATCTATCTTCTAAAGAAATTTTAAATGATAAAAAGAATATTTTATATTTATCCAAGTATTTACTATTTTTGATCTCTTATTCTTTTGTGGAGATCTCAGTTGACATCTATTTTCATTTTCCACCCGCTTGACCTATCTCATGAATCAGTCCTGAGCAGCCTATTGTCCAATGTCAGGAAACAGTTCCTTTATATATTTTACCATTTTTCTGGTTGTTTATGGAAGGAGGGTAAATAACAATTCCCATTACTCTATCATGGCATGAAACAAAAGATTTTTCCCCATTTCTTTTCTTCCAATGTATTCATTTAAAAATACCATATAATTTGTACTATTGATTTTTCTCCATTCTGAATTTTTCTGTTTAATATCACTTGCCATGTTCCTCAGTCTCATACATTTTTATAAACTGGAATTTAGCTGTGGTTGATTTGATCAGAGAGGTCACAATCAAGTTCAATTTTTTTACAATATTACTCATAGATGATGTTGTATATTTCCATCGGGGGCACTTGATGCCTTGCTTTTTCTCTTTTTATGTTAGCAGTTATTCATGAGCATTGTATAGATCCATTACCTTATTGTATGTTGCAAAATGGTGATATCGTATTCTCACATGTCCTTTCTTTTAAGTAGCTAGAATATTTTTTATTAAGATATTCTCTTCCTCTTCAATTGTTTAGTAGCTGGAAGAACAGTTTATGCAGGCAAGGGAGAAGAATTGCTTGATAAACACCGGGATGAATTACAAATGAATAAAACATTTAAATGCTAGAAAAAAATTTTTTAAGTCCTAGAAAGAAACAGAAAACAATTCCATTAAAATCTATACATGTGGAAGGCATGACTCAAAAACCAGACGTACACATAATTTGATTAATTTGCCTATGTAATAGTGATACACTTCTACATAACAAAAACAAACTAAAATATGACAACCTGAAAAATAATATTTGTAACTCATAGAATAGACAAGTGACTAAGCTCTTACTGTGTAGAGTGTCAGGCTGTGCTTACTGCTTGTTACCAGCGTATCACTGTGGTGCTGGATGTCAATAGTTGGGGATGTTGGGCATGTGTGAGGATAGGGAGTGCCTGGGAACTCTGTGCTTTCCACTCAATTTTGCTGTGAATCTAAAACTGCTCTAAAAAATAAAGTTTGCTGATTGTAAAGATGCAAAAGTCCAACAATTCATTGTAAAAATGGACAAAATATATGAAAAAATTTTAACAGAAAAAAACTGATATTAAACATATAGAAAAGATGCTTAATCTCACTCACACGGAGAGAAATGCAATTTCAAACTGCACTGAGATATGATTTCTCCCCATCAGATTTTCAAAACCCATGATATGAGAACAAACATGCACCTTCACACTTCATTAGTGAAAACACAGAGTGGCATAACCAATGTGGAGGGAAATAATAGCAAACAATGAAGTGCTGTCTGAAACTGCAAAGTTTTAGAAATATCCCAAATGAAATGGGTTAACACAAATGCAGGTATTGTTACACAAAGGACTACTATATCGTTGTATAAAACAAATAAGGAGACTCTCTAGATACTGAGATGGAGCAATCCCCATGATATGTTGTTAAGTGAAAAGAACAAGACATAGAGCCATATATATAAACAGTATGCTACCTTTTATGTTAAAAAAAAAAAAAAAAGAGAGAGAGAAGGAATTAAGAATCTATGGCCAGGCACATGGGCTCAACTATAATCCCAACACTTTGGGAGGCTGAGGTGGAAGGATTGCTTGAAGACAGGAGCTCAAGACCAGCTTGGGCAGTATAGTGAGACCCTCCCTGCCTCCATCTCTGAAAAAAAAAAAATTAACCAGGTGGGCATGAAGACACTTGCTGGTAGTCTTAGCTACTTGGAGGCTGAGGCAGGAGGACCATGAGCTCAGAAGTTCAAGGCTGCAGTGAGCTACGATCATGCCACAGCACTCCAACCTGGGTGACAGAGGGGACTCTGTATCCGAAAAAAGAAAGAAAGAAAGGAATTAAGAACGTGCACTGCAATTTGTTTACATTTTTAGAAAGAAACAATGTAAGTATACCCAAGAAACAATGGTTACTTCAGAAAACTGTGGGAGAACCAGGCAGGCAAGGTGGAATCAAGACATCTTAAATTTGCCTTTTCATATTCTTTTGTTTTTTGAATCATGTAAATATATTATTTATTCAAAAATTAGATGTGAAAAGAGTCCCCAGCCTTCCTTATCATAAAGTCATAATATATTTTTTACACTTAAACTTATTTTTTTACAAAGGAAGTTGAAGGTAACATCTGTGCTGTGTTGCAGCTGCCCCAACAACCAAAGATTGCTGTTGTACCATTATTTGTACAGAATATAATTCTCTGGCTGAACCTTATCTGACGTTTACGGTCTCTTTTATTTTATCTCACAAATGTAAGGGGAAAAGTGGATTTTCAGAAACAGTCATCCATTAATGATTAAAACTTAAAACAAATATCAGAAGCCCCAGAGACTGTTTTTAAAAATTGTGTACTAAGAGTTAGTAGTAGCTAGAGGTGATTCATTCATTCATTAAAAGGGGAAATCGTTTGTAATGTTAAGCTAATATCAGAGTAGTTTTTGGGAAGATAGATGTGATTGAAATATTTTGGTATGTTCTTGGAGTGAAACAGAAAAACAGATTGCCTACCCTACCAGACATGACTGTTGATATACTTAGACAAAATCTTGGCTTGCAATGTTGTTGGATTTATGCAAAGCCATTTTCTTAAAATATCTGAATCTGAATATTACCTTTATTTTTCTCTTGGCATCTCTTTTATAACCAAACATATCTTAATTTCACCTGAGGACAGACGGGTGCCTCCAACAGAATTTAGCCATGTTCATGTGCTTAGAAATTCCAAAAAGTAAGCATGTTAATACTTTTCGAACCACCGTTCACATTCCAGGTGTTACTGTTTCGATTCAGCGTGCCGATGAGCCCCTTCTTTCCTCCATAGCTCTGAATAATAGCATATATACCCCAGGCGCGGTGGCTCACGCCTGTAATCCCAGCACTTTGGAAGCCTGAGGCGGGCAGATCACGAGGTCAGGAGATCGAGACCATCCTGGCTAACACGGTGAAACCCCCGTCTCTACTAAAAATACAAAAAATTAGCTGGGCGTGTTGGCGGGCGCCTGTAGTCCCAGCTACTCGGGAGGCTGAGGCAGGAGAATGGCGTGAACCCGGGAGGCGGAGCTTGCAGTGAGCCGAGATCGCGCCACTGCACTCCAGCCTGGCCAACATAGCGAGACTCCGTCTCAAAAAAAAAAAAAATAGCATATATACATAAAGAATGGAGTCGGTTGGGCAAATGATCACCTTTTCATCCAAAACACAGAGCCCCCTAAGATGTTGGAGTGAAGAACACAACAAGAATGAAAGTTCAAAATGAGGCTTCCCAAATTTTCTTTCTAAATGGAGTAGCATGAGCCCACAGTACAACTCAGCTAACATCCATACCACATTAGACTGAGAAAAGTAAACCTGAAGAGGAAAGATTAGCCGGAATCTGCCCAAAATAGGCCTACTCCAGACAGCTTATAACATGGAAAAAGGAAGCCCCAGGCAGGCTACGTATACATGGGTGTAGGGAGATCTAGGAACCTGTTTCCTGGTTTGAGGCAAAGTAACATTAGTAGTGAGAACTAAAATACAATCTAAAAGCTATCAGTGAGTTGGTAATAGGTAATGCAGATGTCGACAAAACCATAGTTTCCTACTGTCAATAACAAACCTGTTTCTATATTGCAACAAATAAAATGCTATAATGTAAATACTGAAGAGTGATCCCATTTATAATGAGTTGGGCCCTCTAGGAAAACTCTTGTCAAAGCAGCAATTCTCTACTTGCTGTGTGATTGTAAACTTGACTTTGGAACTGGCTCTTGTAATACAGTCTACTATAGTCTTCATACATATTACCACTGTATTCATACATATTACTACTGTAGGGGTTTGGAAATCAAGGGGAAAAATTGTGGGATGTTAAAAACCACAAACTTATTTCCAAACCTATGGCTTCAAATTTTACATACTTTGCTTGGTGCCCAGATAAAGAGCTGTACAATGTTTTTTCTGCATCCAGTGAAATGATCATGCAATTTTTGTCCTTCATTCTATTAATATGGTGTAATACATGACTGATACTTGTATACTGAACCTGTCTTGCAACAACTACTACATGTGCCCCCAGGTTATGTGTTAATAATGGGTGCGAGATTTTCCATTATACTAGCTCTATCCTGCACAAAAATATCATGCCATCAAATGCAGAAATCGTTAGCGAAAAATTCTGGACATAGTATTTCCAATAAAATCAATAACTTATTAAGCAGTTCTAAGTACCCTGTGAGGAGCCAATATTGCAATGACTTTTAGAACTCCACTTAGAAGAAATGAACAAGTCATTGATCTTAAGCTACATGAGGAGGGGCCGCAGAGAATATGAAACTACAAGGGCAAATAACAAGCCATTTCCCAAAACATCCCCTAAGAACAAAGGAAGCATGAAGCCAGTCACTGCAAAACAGGAAACACACCCCAAAATATCTTCTCTCAGCCAACATGAAGAGATTTTAAGATAGCGGGGAAAACATGAGAACCTAGGAAACTGAAAACAATCAAACAACTGAAATAACAAGCAGCAACCGGCAAACAGCTAGGAAAAAAAGCAGCTGGAGAAAATTCAAAAAGAGATAGCCCTTCTCCAGGAGCTAGAAGATTTAGAAATGAGTCTTTTAGGTATTTAAAGAACATAAATTGAATGCCAGAAATCAGTATAAATATATCTTCTTGTTAAACCTGATGGGGTACTCTAAACATTCTTATGCCCATACTTGATGATCATTTATAATGTATCCAATATTCTGAATATGTGGGGTTTTTAAATGTTTATTAAATGGACTTTTCCTACCTTTCAATGTAATGTAGAAGGGGGTAGGAATGAGTTTTTTTAACCAAAGCTTGACAGACTAAAACAGAGATATTATTATCCACTAAAGAACAGTCTCTCAAGACACAAATAAAAGCGTCTTACACTTTTTTAAAAGAGGAAGGAGCAAAAGGAAGAGTGATCAAAATCAGGAAGGAAGGCTGCATGCTGACTCTGCATGTTCTCTGCAGAACCTCCAGTAAAAGTTCCTGAAACTAAAACAACAGGAAAAAGAAAAAGTCGAATAGGAATAATTGTGTGTGTGAATACCAGGGTGTTTTTTTTTTTTTTTTAAAGTAACAGTAAAAACACCACATTTTAGGCTTTTGGAGTCTTGCACCAACAAAGAAACAGTGCATAATTCTGTAGGACTGAGGAGGTAGAGAAAAGGCTGAGGAAAAAGAGGACTCTTAGAAACAGTGGGGAGGATCTCAGGATTTTTCTTTCTTTTAAATTAGTACTATATTTATTCTTTTTCATTACCTTGTTCCTTTTTTAATTTTTATTTCAATGGTTTTTGGGGTACAGGTGGTTTTTGGTTACATGGATAAGTTATCTAGTGGTGATCTCTGAGATTTTAGTGCACCCGTCACCCAAGCAGAGTACACTGGACCCAGTGTCGTCTTTTATCCCTCATCCCCCTCCCAATCTGCCCCCCTCCCAGTTCCTCAGTCCATTATATCATTCTCGTGCCTTTGCGTCCTCATAGCTTAGCTCCCACTAAGAAATGAGAAAATACACTATTTGGTTTTCCATTCCTGAATTGCAAGTGGGATCTCCCAGGGCACCACTGGACAGGTCAAATAATGACATTTTTCTAGAAATGGGACTTTTAAGGGGCTCTAACTCCATTCAGCTCCCTTCAGTGGCTTCCAGGCTGCTAGTTTTCATAGTGATTTTAGTTTTTTGGTTTTCAAGGTTACCACAGAGTTGGGGGTAATGAGAAAGGGGCAAGTTGAAACATGACAGAACTCACTATTCTTACTATTTTTCTTGAATGAACACTCTCAATATTGCTTCAAGCGTTGGGTTGATACCCAGAGTTCTGAAAAAAAAAAAAAAAAAAAGAGTTGATTCTGACTATTTTTTGACAGTGTTCTCTATCTTTGTGGAGATTTTTGGAGGACATTATTCTGCTATTCCCACTGACATCATCTCACAATTATATTTGTCTTATAAATATATAGCATTATGGTTGCAGTGTGAAAGGTAATTTGAGAGAAGCAAGCCTCGAAACAGGTTCAATCCAAAGAAACAGTTGCAACAATCCAGTCCAGAAACGATGGTGACCATAACTCGAGTAGAGATAAGGAAAAAAAAAAGTGGATGCTCCAGAGAGACATGAAGCCTTTATAATACACAACTCTTTTGTTATTTGTTGGAAGAAAGAGTCAAGGCTTCTGTCATGGACAACTAGACAGATTATGGCACCATTTGCAAAATAGGAAACCCAGGAAGGAAGGGATGAACAGCCAGTGGAGCCAAAAGTGGTGCCCGTGAGAACCTCATTACCCAGTGAAAACACAAATAGAAGAAAGACCAAAGGTGTTTAGCGCATGCTCCAATACCCAGTAGGCCTTGCAGTGTTGACTTGAAGCTGTGGTGGCCAACAGGATTGAAAGGCATGCTTTGTAGTTAACAGTGCCTAGTAAGCAGCACCCAGTGGAGAAGGATTTGGATCAGGACAAAAGTAAAACCAAGATAAACACCACGTGACAAGTGACAGAAATTTTCGGTAGCTAATGTAACTCATCCATTGGGAAACCTCAGAAATAAATTGAGGGAAACAGGAACTTGCTGGCAGCCCATAGTGCTGCAAGAGCAGGTGGGTTGCAAGCTAGGAAAACATTCATAATTATTGTCGACATGATGTCATTTTAAACTTCAGGTTACTGATGATTTTTGAAGGACAAATTACAAGTATATTCCCAGAGGGTCTTTTAGGCATGACACCTTGGCCCTGGCTTGACCCCTTTTAGTCTAGCCTACACGCTGCCCTATAATCTGTGGGTCAGGAAACGCAAGCCCGCCACACTACCACCCACCAACATACATGAGGACGATGTGAAGTGAAGAGCAATAAACAGGAAGTTTGTAGCTGAAGAGGAAAATGTATCATGCTGATCATGCTGTTCACAACTAGATTTTACACCAGTCTGTTGAGCACATCCTGTGTGTATTCACAGAAATACAGAGGTGCAAGAGTGAAGGCCACGGAGGTTTCTCATGAACATCAAGCTGCCTCTCATGGGAGAACGGGAGGTGGGCCTGCCGATGCCTTCATCTGCTAGGGAGGATGATAGTGTGCTAGTGGTAGAGGCTGGACCAGTGGGCCCATGGAACAAGCTAATGTAAGGATGAGCTAGGAAGGAGAGGGTTTTTACTGAAAAGGTGGATGCTTCATTTGAGGGAGGAGGAGAAGAGGCTCATAGCCAAGTGGCCTGGGGATTCTTCTAGGGAAGTGAGCTTGCTGGCAGGCTTCACAGATCATGTCAGCAACTTAGCTGACTCCCTTGCAGAAATTTAGCCAAATTTTATGGGACTTTCTGTCGTCATGGAATCACGAAACTATTTTTTTTTTTTTTACTCTTTATGCTAAGTTCATCACAAAAGCCTTGTTCTTCAGTAAATCTTGCTCAGTGCAGGAAAAGAGAGAAATGAAGTGAAAAGGATTGCTCTGAGGAAGGAGAGGAGGCTGGGGGTGCTGGATGACCCTTTGTGAAAAATAAGCATGTTCTTAGTGCATCAGCAAAACAGAGGCACTGTAAATAGGCAAAAAACATTTCCTTAGAAGTTACCTCTCCCACTCTCTAACCAAAAGAGGTCTGGATCATCTGTACATCCTGCAGTCTATCACATTGGTCCACTGTATCAGGGTCTCTCAGCCTTGGGACTATTGACATTTTGGTCCAGATAACTCTGTTGTGGGGGACTGTCGTGTGCATCTTAGGATGTTCAGTAGCATCCCTGGATTCTATTTACCACATACCAGTAGCACCCACTCCCTGTTGTGGCAACTAAAAAATTCTCCAGGAGGCTGGGTGTGGTGGCTCACGCCTGTAATCCCAGCACTTTGAGGGGCCAAGGCGGGCAGATCACGAGGTCAGGAGATCAAGACCATCCTGGCTAACACAGTGAAACCCCATCTCTACTAAAAGTAATTTTTAAAAAAAATTAGCCGGGCGTGGTGGTGGGCGCCTGTTGTCCCAGCTACTCGGCAGCCCGAGGCAGGAGAATAGCATGAACCTGGGAGGCGGAGCTTGCTGTGACCCCAGATCACACCACTGCGCTCCAGCCTGGGTGACTGAGGAAGACTCCGTCTCCAAAAAAAGAAAAAGAAAATTTCTCCAGGAATTGCCAAATGTCTTCTACAGGGCAAAATTGTTTCCAGTTGAGAACTAGCACATTACCTCAATGATGTCACATTGGAGAGGCAGGACAAGCAATAGGTGGCCAGCATGATAGTGGCCTTGGTAAGACACATATGTTTGAGAGAGTAGAATATCAGTTCTGGACTTCCAGCTCAAGGAGGGTCTTCAGTGAGACATGGAGGATGTCCGCCAATTATGGCAGTGAGGAAGGGATGCCACTCTTGAAGGCTTTCACTTCAAGAAGAAACTTGCCATTCAGCTCCAGCTGCAACACTGTCAGGTCCCATCTGAGCTTCTGAGCTGAAGCCATGCTTTCTCCAGCCAGTCCCCAGCCTAAAGCGGAGCACAGCAGAGCTCCTAGTGTCTGTCCAATGCAGGACTTGGCTATTAATCTGTCTTTGCCCCAGAATTCCCTATTGAGTTGGCCTGGGCTTTGCCAGGCTCTTCCTGCCCAACTCAGCTCCTCCCCACTTTTCTCTTGCAAGTGTCCAGTCTAAATGACAGTCTGAAGGCTTTCCCTGCCCAATTTGGCTTCTTCCCTCTTTTGTCTTTCATGAGCTTTCCCCATAAACCTCTTGTGCTCCTAACTCTTTCTCGGCATGTATTTCTCAGAGAAACTGACACAGCAGTATTGTTGCCCCGTTCAGACTTGGACCTGAAGGAAAACAGCAAGGTATGTTAGAGCCAACCTGTGAGAGGATGCCACATTGCTTAGCCCACACATCACCCACCTTGTGCAGCTCCCAGTGTCACCTGCTCAGCCATAGGTAGCACACTGGGATTTGTTTCTGCCTTCAGGCAGAAGGGAAGCTCAGGGAAGAAGCACAAAATGCCTTTCAGACCTTATTCCTCCCATGTTTCTGGTTCTAATACTGGTTACATTTATTTGTCCTTGCTATACTTAGATGTCCAGAGTGAAAGATAACTGAGCTGTCAGGGACCTGCCACACAAATGGCTGTCACCCAGTCTAAATGAAGGTCCTCAGGCACCAAAGATACAAAAACCTCGCCTGAGTCAAGGTATCTAAACATCTCAATTGTCTCTTCATGAAGGTATGCTGCTTCCCTAAATCACAAAAATAGAAATCAGAAAGAGAATGTGAATTCATAATGATTCATCTTTATTATTTGATTCAACTAAATATATTTACACACTTTTTTTTACTTTCCAATTTTTATTTCAGGTTCAAGGGGTACATGCACAGGTTTGTTACATGAGTAAGTTGTGTGTCACAGGGGTGTGGTGTACAGGTAATTTTGTCACCCAGGAAACCAGCATAACACGCAATAGGCAGCTTTTCAATCTTCACCCTCCTGCCACCCTCCACCCTCAAGTATACCCTGGTGTCTATTGTTCCCTTCTTTGTGTCTACGGCACACACATTTTCTAGAAGTTATTGTGTTAAGGGTTATATGGAATCCAAAAGTATTAATGGCAACAGTCCATGTCCTTTTAAATGGATTAATGTTGACGGTAACCTGATATTGTCTAGGGGAAAAAAACAGATGACAAAGATTATGCTCTCAAAGCATGTACAAAGTGCTCAACATTTTACCCTGTATCTATCTTATCCTGTATCTACCCAGAAGAAGGTTCCAGATTTCTCTCTCACATATCACCCACCTCTCAAAATAATCTGCTCAGCTATGGAAAGAACACCACTGTCTTGAAACCAAGAAGCAAATTCGAGTGTAGAAGCCACATCCCAGTGCAGGTGGGACAGAAAGATAGAACAAAACTGGGATGTTGACGCCCACCAGCCCCAGCCTGCTTATTCCTCGGCTTCCTGACAGGAGATACAGGAAGCCCCTGATGTTTTTAAACCATTATTATTGGAGTTCTCTGAGTTTTAACCTGTTTCCTAACCTCAAGGGAAAGAGAAGGAGAAAGAGAAACGCAATGGAGATTCTAATAACCTTCTCTAGAGGAAATCTAGAACAACACTTAGAATTACAGAACTTTGCAAGATTCTCTGATTTTGGCAATCTTACTATGCTTCTAATTTCTGTTCTAGTCTATGTCACTGTGATAATTAGCAATAAAATCATTCAGAACCTCCAAGACTCATGTCTGTTTCCTCAGGGACAGCCAGCAATGGAAGACTATGTCCCACTTCACATCTAGGCGTGGAACGTGAAGAGCCGTAAGGAATGGCTAACGTGTGAAGAAAAGAACACTCTAGCCCTAAGTCGCATCCCAAAGGAGACAGGAGAGCTCAGGGAGCCAACGGCCCTGGACAACAGGGAGGCCCTCTGGAGTCTGCTTCCTGCTTCCGCCATGCCCAGGAGTGTGCTGAACGCTGCCCTGGTCTCATGTATCTGGATCCCCTGGGTTGTTGTACGACTATCTATATTCTCATCCCAGGTGGCCTCAGCCTTGATCACAGTGTCTATCCTGATTCCAACCTACCTACACAAGTGAGGTGATTCTTGTGACTTGATTCTACCACTTATTATCAGCCTAATGTCTGAAATCTTTTTCCAGATTTCCCCACCTTGTATCTTCTTTCTCCTTTATAATACCCTACTATTCGCCCCCACCTGCAATTTATTTATCTACAAATAGCTGATACATCACAAGGCGGGATGCATTTGCCTCTCAGGCCCTCAAAGCCATGAACCCGCTTCCCTTCCCACAGGTTGTACCATGCCCCGCCCCTCCCCCCAACCTGAGGGTGTCTCTAATTGAAGAGACCCCAGGCACTTCGGCTACCTATTGTAAAATACCTATTAAATTTTTAAGGAGTTTTTCGGCTTGGGACATTTCCTGGACATTTTTAATTAGTTTGCTGACGTTCTCCTGTGTATGGGGATACCCGGACCACCCACTTTCTTTTCTCAGATCATTGACCTTTGTTAAAAGAGCTTTCACCTGGGTTTCCTGGGCCTGGCCTGTTTCTTTGTTGTTAAAAGCACAAACTCGCCGCCCACACTTTTTAAAAATGCGCCGAAGGGCTTTGTTATCTGAGTTCTTCATGAAGTCTTCCAAATTCCCCGCCCCTAGGTCTTCCTTCCGGGTGAACAGCATAATCGCGTATTTCGTAAAGTCTGCTCCAAAGATGGCCTCCAGTTTCGCCACAGCTGTTTTGTCCTCTTCAGTGAATCGTCCCAGCTGGAACACCAGGACAAAAAATGTGTCCCCTTTTTCACAGCAGGACAAACAGCGCTTGACCTCCTCTTCTAACCGGGATGGGTCCTTTTCGACATCCAGCATCTGGTTGAAGGAAGGAGTGTCCACAACCACCACCTCCTGTCCGTCCCATGTCCTCCTGCCACTCTGGCTGGTCTTGGTGACTGGCTGGGCCCGGAGCCGAGAGGTGAAGACGAGGCTCCCCAGGATAGAGTTCCCGGTCGCACTCTTCCCAGTCCCGCTTCTCCCCACAAGGACAATGTTCAGGGTTTCTGTCAAAGGAAAGTGGGAAAGATTCGTGACCATGGGCTGATCTGAAATTGGATTTTAAAGTTATCCCATGAAGCAAGATTACATCACTAAAGTAAACAGCATGTTCAAACAGCATCAAGACCTCCTTCTCACCCAAGCAGGGGGATCTCCAAACACGGGAATGACTTGGCCCAGTTCACTCAGTCTGTGGACTCATGGCAGGACTTGGACTACATACAGTCTCCGTCCAGGGTTCATCCACCAATGTGGCACTGTTCCTATCACTGAATCGGCTCTGCTCCCTTTTTGCAGCACCTTCCAGACAGACTCCCTGGCACCTGTGAGTGTCCCCTGGCCTTCTTACTCTCTGCTCCCCTCAGCTGGGTTCCGTCTACACATCTCATCCCTTTGTCTTCTGTTCCTGTTACAACTACATCTTCTCACTCCCAACTACTGCTAACTATAGCAACATCTCCTTACAGTATTTAAAGAATTATTCTGTAAAATTGACTTTCATGAAAAAGAAACTCTACATATCACTGATAGATTACCAGTTTCCTTAGTTAGGACATGTAAAAATTCATTTCTCATTAAAACCACATTGAACTTAATTGCCTTTCACTGATGAGTCAGAAGAAACCGCATGGTTATAATAATGAATATCCACTAACACTGTTGGGTGTGTGGTGTCCATGATGGAGAAAGAGAATGAATTTCCCTATAAATGGAATTTACAGACACATAGAGACCTTACAATATGCGTTCTTTGGAGATCGTTCTTATGCTTTTGCACTTGCACTGTGACAGTCCAGTGCTCATTCAAGTCTCTTCGTAGTTCTCTTCCATTATGAATTTCATATCAAATAGCTAATATCTACTTCAATGCAAAGGAGGAAGAAAGCACATCCCATGCTCTTCCTTCAAGGGGAAATTATTAACCTGTTTATGCTGAAACTTCAACTTCATAGTTATGCCCAGCAGATGAACAATAGCTTAATCTTCCAACACTCCCATATTTGTCATATATTTCAGTCCCTACTTCTGTACCTACAGAGGGTGTGTTTCTCATGTACCTCTGAAATCCGGCCCCACTCCCCATCCCATATTCTCTAATTCAGTGTTCTTAATGTTCAACGCCTTAATCTTCAATGTTCTTGGAAGATGTCCTTTAGAGCTGTGAACCCCCATCTCCACCAAGATTATTCTTTTTTGTCCCCTAACAAGTGACATGCTTAGTCCTACCTCTTTGCTTCAAATTGCTGGTGTACTCTCTGGAATATCTTCCAGCTTTCTGCTCAGCCATTTAATCCCTACCCATTCTCTAAAACCTGTTTCAAATTGGGCTTTCTACACAAAGCCTCTCCTGACTTTCCCATGTATCTATACTTCTAAAGGAGGGTTCAATAAGAAAATATGCTCCTTTGGGTTTTATCTTCTTCCTGGGTGAGGATGTTTGAAGCAGAAAAAAAAACGGGATGAGTAAGAATGGGAAGGACCTCAGCATAGGTCAACTGAACGTGTAGCACTAAGTGGATGAGGAGCCCTTCTTAAGTAGTAAAGAGAGCAGTGTGCCAAGCTCTGGGCAACAGTACACTGTGGGGAAACAAAGGGTTGGAAAGCATCAGCTCCTTTCTTCAAGACACTCACACTATCCAGTTGAAGAGATAGTAAAGATCATGAAAAAATTAAAGACCGGTTCAAGAGAATGTGCATGGAAAAGCTATAACTTCAGTACAATTTGAGAAGCAAAGAAAGAGAAAAGAGTTAGTCCATAGAACAGACCTATCCTTCCTTTATTTTTCTTCCAGTTTCAACTTCTTTTTTGTTTCATTTCAACTTTTATTTTAGGTACAGGTACATATACACCATAGAATAATAGGCAGCCATAAAAAAGAATGAAATCCTGTCTTTTGCAGTAACATAGATAGAGCTGGAGGCTGCCATCCTAAGCAGACTAACACAGGAACAGGAGACCTGTCCTTTTTATCTTCTCTATGCCTTTTAGAAAATGTGGCACATATACACCATGGAATACTATGCAGCCATAAAAAATGATGAGTTCATGTCCTTTGAAGGGACATGGATGAAATTGGAAATCATCATTCTCAGTAAACTATCGCAAGAACAAAAAACCAAACACCGCATATTCTCACTCATAGGTGGGAATTGAACAATAAGATCACATGGACACAGGAAGGGGAATATCACACTCTGGGGACTGTTGTGGGGTGGGGGGAGTGGGGAGGGATAGCATTGGGAGATATACCTAATGCTAGATGACGAGTTAGTGGGTGCAGCGCACCAGCATGGCACATGTATACATATGTAACTAACCTGCACAATGTGCACATGTACCCTAAAACTTAAAGTATAATAAAAAAAAAGAAAAAAAAGAAAATAAAAAGTTCTTATATATTTTATACCTATTTTTAAATGATATATGTAAAAATATATATCCTATTCACAGTTTTACCTTTTTCTCTGAAAACACAATGCTTGTTCCCATTCTGATGCACCATGCTCTCAATTTTTTCCAGGAGCTCGTCCGCCTGCCTTTGCTCTTCTTCTCCTGTTGCCCGGTAGTTGAAGGCACTATATCTGTTTTTACACTTCTGGATGAGACCATAGAGAGCTTTATTGCTGTTTCTTAAGAACGTATCTAGATCCTGATCCCCTAAATCTTCTTTCCTGGTAAGAAGTATGATCATGTACTCAAAGAATTTTTCTCCAAAATTGTTTTGGATGGTGCTCAGCACTGCCTCATCATTCTTAGTGTAAAAGCCCAGTGGTGTCACCAGCAGGAAGGCATGGGGGCCTGTACAGATGTGTTTTCTAACTTCTGAGTCAATGTTCTTTAAAGATGAGATGTCCGGAGCATCAATGATCGAAACTTTCTTTTTTCTCCAGCTTCTGCTCTCAGACAAGAAGCTCTGGGTTACTGACTGCTCACTAAATCCGGTCTGAAAGGCCTGCCTCCCCAGAATGCTGTTTCCTGCTGCACTTTTTCCAGCACCGCGTTTCCCCACAAGGAGGACTGTCAGTTCTGATGTCCCCGGATTCTGCTCGGGTCCTGTGGACTGCAGCTGCCTTTCCCTTGGGCCTGTGGGACAAATGGACAGGTTCAGAGTCTCTTCCTGCAGTTGAATATGGATGTGGGCAGGTTTTATGATTTCTCATCCCTGCAAACTTGTATAGAGAATGGCAACAACACGGTAAACCAGTAGAACTCTACTCTCAGCCAGAAGCTCTCCATCAAGGTGAAAGCCACAAACAGGGGCAGGAGTGAACTAAGAGATATTCATGGAGCTTATGATTCCCCAGGAACACGAACATGCCAACTTTGGCCTTCGTTGGTCTAGGTCCTCAGGGTTCCCCTCATTTTGTTATCAAAGGTAAGTACTGGGGCCTACCAAAGGTAAGTACGTACCAAAGGTAAGCCCAGGGGCTAAGGCAGGAGCAGGGAGAATCCGATTTTCAAATGCCCCTTGGTGGTATAAAATCAAATACACTCAGCAATTAAAAAAAAAGTGAACTAGCGATATGCAGTATAGATGGATCTCAAAAAAACACGCTAAGTAAAAGAAGCAGGACACAAAAACTGCATACTAGATGATTCTACCATATGAAGTTGAAGAACAGACCAAATTAATCTATGTTGATAGAAATCTGGATAGTGTTTCTCTTTGGCGAGGGGCAGCAAGAATCTGTAAGATGATGGAAATGCTCTATATCTTTATCTAGATGGGGATCCCATATGTATAGATATAGAAAAAGGCATCAAGCTGTTTGCTTAAGATTTGTGCATTTTACTCTGTGTAAATCGTACCTCAATAAATTGCTGTAAAAACCTGCAAACCTGCACCCTACAACTATCTCTCCACACATCCCCTGGCTGAGGCAGCATCAACACCAGACCTATGAACTGAGCAAAAGGGAGAGTCTGCAACTGCAGGGAGCTTTCTCTGAGGCTGAGTCATCAACAGCCTTCGTGGGAAGGGTCTGAGCAGCAAGTTGGGAAGGTGGGATGGACACAGCATCAAAGGCCCTTGCTGTATTGCCTTGGAAAACTTACCGCTTTGCGAATCTGTTTCCATGTTGGTAGAATGGGAATCTAATGCCCACGTTGAGGTTGAAAAGACTAAAGGAAACAGCACCTGTAAAGCCCTTAGGACCTGACTAGCACGGAAGTGTGCATGGAAGGCTTCACAGTTAAGGAAGAACTTGAGTCAGGCCTGGAAGTGCCCCTCCCTCCCTCACACTCCCCCCTACTCTCCTTTACAGACTTCAGGACTTTTGCCCATATGACAGCACTTTCTTTGCCTCCTGCCCTATCTCCTGCTGGCTACTCAGGTTCCTATGCAAATATAACTTCTTCAAGAGAACTTCACCTAAATTGCTCACCGCAAAACTATACAAATCAGCTGCCATGTGTATTTCCTCTATTCTTACCAAAATAATAATTTTATATTTATTTCGAATATGGACTCTCTTCAATTTAGAGAGACCATACAGTGCAGTGGTTAAAAGTAGGAGTGAGAAGGGATAATAAATAGCCCTTGAGAGCCAGGAGCTGGTCTGGCCTCCACAGCAAGGCCATGGCACCCTCCTGTCTCTCATCCACAGTATTACAGAAAATCAGACACGAGTCTTCCACAACCACAACCACTCTGCAATCGTATCTGAGCACACAAAAACAACAGCATTGCCCGAACATCCCCTGCACTGGCTAAATAGATGACAGCTGCCTCCTGATGGCTTTAGCCTCGTTCCACCCTTGTCACCTTGGACAGAAGAATTATTCAAACACTTCATTGTGGAACTACCCCCCACTTCCTAAGCGCATCCATCCTGGAGCAAAGTCCCACTTCCTGGAACCTTCCTCAGAATCACCTAACATGAGCCCACATCCTATAAAAAGTCCTTCCCTGCCCCCTGTTTCTGACAGCCCTGTGACTCCCCATGGTGTGCTGGGCCCTCACAGCCACAGGTCAATAAACGCACTTTTGTTCAGTCACACGTGTGTTCCTGGGGTCTCGGCCAAAGGGCATTGCCAGAATTTTGAAACCCTTCTGCCTGAGTACACGTATTTCTGGCTGAGTGCACTCAGCTGTGAAATGAGGATGAGGCTCACAACATCTTCTTTACAAGATTGTTACAAGAATTGAACTGGTGTATTTTAAGAGGATTATATATGAATATGCTATGAAGATTGAATTACATATTTATGAAAGTTATTTCCCAGGACATAATGTCAGCTGCAATTTTTTTTTTTTTTGAGACAGGGTCTTGCTCTGTTGCCCAGACTGGGGTAAAGTGGCATGATCTCAGCTCACTGCAATCTTGCGCTCCCAGATTCAAGTGATTCTCATGTCTTAGCCTCCCGAGTAGCTGAGACGACAGGCACGCACTACCATGCCTGGCTAATTTTTGTATTTTTAGTAGAGACAGGGTTTTGCCATGTTGGCCAAGCTGGTCTTGAACTCCTGGCATCAAGTGATCCACCCACCTCGGCCTCCCAAAGTGCTGGGATTACAGGCATGAGCCACTGCACCCGGCCTCAGCTATAATTATTAGCAATACTATTAAAATTATGATTTTATTATTTGGAAGATTTCCATGAGGAAAAGGATCTTGTCTATCTTATTCACGACTGGATACTCAGAGCTTGCACAGGGCTGACCCAGAAATAACCTGCAAATCCATCAGTAAAGGCATGGTTGCATTTGTTTTGTGTGTCCACATTGTGAAACAAACTGCATCTACTATACGGAAGGAGGTAGATCTATACATATTGACTTATGCAGATGTGCAGGATCTATCATTACTGGCAATCATCACCTGAATACTGCACCCCATCAGAGAATTCTCCAAGTTGGTGTTGTCCATGAAGGAGTGATTTCTGCTTTCCTAAGAGGAGTCAAAACTTGGGCAGGGCCGGATCCAAGGCCAGAAAGAAGAGTCTGAGTTAGGAAAGAAGACACAAGAGGCAAGCCCAGCTCTGTAACACTTCAGAAAAGTCCAAGGACACCCTCGCTGGGTCCAGGAACTTTGCTGGTGCTATACCTACTCACAAGTGTTAGGAGTTTCCTAGGGGATAGCTTGTGGGAACCAACCTCAGCTAGGTCCCCAGGGTGAATTTTCTGGTTTATATGGATAATGTTTCCGCTTCACTTTGGCTGCAGAATGCATTCAAAAGAATACAAGTGTGAGCTTAATGTTTCTTAAAGATCAACTTACCCTGTGGCTTGTCTCCCTCTTGAGATGCAGCTTCATTCACACAATCCTAGAAAATAAAGGAACAAAATAGTGCACACAGATCTAAAACCTCATCTTCCACAAACTGAAAAAAAAAAAAAAAAAAAAAAGGAAATTGAAGTATTAATTCAGAATGATCTGCTGAGTCAGATGTGGTCAAATCAAGGCCCTGGTCATGGTCTTTGTTGGTCTTTGTGGACCTGTCCACAATGGCAGTGGATCCTTAGATCCCCTGATGCTGCTAGGACTGGTTCTCGGAGAAGGTGATGTTTCCAACGTCTCCTTCCCTCACTGCTCCCAGTATGGAAAGGAAGCTTATTCTAACCTGAGGTTAATTGTCCAATATAATTTGGAATCCCGTTCCCCACCCCCCCAAGTCTGGCAAATGGAGACAACAGGATAGAGAACCAAACACCTAACTGACATCCCCTTCTCCTGCCTGGGGAATCCTGATACTTAGTTCCAAAATATTTATTGTTGTGGAATCAAGAAAGGAGGTGAAAAAACAGTATGCAATCTTGATGAACCTGCTAGTCTTAGAAACTTCCTAGACTTCATTTTAACCTTATCTTTGTTAAATCTTCATGCCAGCCAAGGAAATCTTCCCTCTGCTTTCTTGCCTGGCTTTGCCCAATATCATTGACACCCTCAACCATCCCTCTCCCTGCATCCTCTCCATTTAGCTGTCATTATCAGATTTCTTTAACCTTACATAGCCCAGTTCAAATTATTTAGTGTTCTCTAAATTCAAAAGATTGTTATGAGGTAAATGTCCATAATATAAAAATTAATGATCTTTGCATTCCCACTCCACCAGAAAAGTAACAGTTGTTAACTGGTATATATACTTCTATCTTTTTCTATGTTCATACAAATACATACAAGCATACATGAACATATGGAGACTTATTATTTGTTCTACAATCTGCTTAATAATGCATTCTGTACATCTGTAGAAGTCAATATAGACAGAACTACATCATTCTTTAAGTAGATAGAATTTATTCCATAGTACGGACATGCGTAACTGATGCAACCATCTTTTCATTGATCAATCTTCGGTTTATTTCTGGTTTTACTGTTTCAAATGATGCTGTGCTAACTATTCTTGTACATATATCTTTAGGTATACCTTTTTTTTTTTATTTCCAGGGCATAGAGTTCTAAAAGTATGGCTCTAACTCAGTCTCTGGGCTGTTAAAGTTCTTAATGATTCCTTAATTTATTTAATCCTCAGGCATTTTCATCATCATCATAATAACAGCATTACTGAACACCTACCAAGTTTCAAGCATTTGTTAACGACTTTGTAAGCATTTCATTTAATTCTCACAGCAATTCCTGACATACATGTGATTATTATCTCTGCTTTACAGAAGACAAAACTGAGATGCTATAGTCAACAAAACAGATATGATTTCTTCTGCCCTCATGGAGTGGGTAGGTAGACAACCAGTGAAATCACTTGATGTGGTGGTGACATTGCCATGAGGAAAGGAAGCTGTGGGGCTCATTCCAAGGCCTGAGAGCCAGGATGGTCAGGGAGGACTCCCTGAGGAAGTGACTTTTAGCTGATGCAGATGGAGAAATAAAAGCAAACCTGGTACAGGGTGGGATGGGGGAGAGCAAGTGTCAGTGCAGAGAGAATCACAGGCTTGAGGCTCAGGAGTGGATGTGAGTGTAACTCAGGGGCAAACAGGAAGGCCAGCAGGACCAAGGCATAGACAGCGGAGCACAGGGCAAGGAGTCAAGCCAAATTAAGAGTTCTGAACTTTACCTTATGATCAGCAGGAAGTCACTGGAGCATGTAAAACCAGAGGGTTTCATTGTAGGAAACTTACTACACACCCATTCTTCTCTTTATTAACATCCCTGTTCCATGCAGCCCTCAAGGAAGAGACAGATTGTCACAGAGGAGGGAGCACTCAGGCTAGGAGATAAGAGAGCAAGTGTCTTCAGCCCTCTTGAGCCTCAGTTTCCTCATGTGTAGAGCATCTGTCCATAGGGTTGTCACGAGGACTTAATTAGTTTATGTCTTTGTCTGGAATTTAGTGGGCATTCAGTAAATGATTTCTCTCTTATTTCCATGCTGCTTGGGCTTATTACTCTTCCCTCTGAGCAGTCTCTCTCTGACCAGAAAGTAACAGTTGTTAACTGGTATATATCCTTCTAACTTTTTCTATGTTCATACAAATACATACAAGCATACATGAACATATGGAGACTTATTAAGTTATATGTTCTACAATCTGCTTAATAATGCATTCTGTACATCTGTAGGAGTCAATATAGATAGAACTACATCATTCTTTAAGTAGATAGAATTTATTCCATAGTACGGACATGCGTAACTGATGTTACGCATCAGGCTCAGTGTGTGCCTGCTGTACACCCTCTGGGGCTTCCCCTTGCCAAATCCTCTGTGCTAGCATCCCCCTCACACTCAGCCAGGAGTGCTTTGTTTCTTATGCATCAGCCACTCCAGTTAAAGTGTAAGCACCTCTAAGGCAAAAGACTGCATTTTTGTATCTTCCTTAGTTACAAATACATTTTCCTTTCACATCAAAAGCTTAAATAAAATCTCACCCTGGCTGTAATGTGTGAGATGGGTTGTGGGATACAGCCCAAGAATACATGAGGAGAAAATCATTACGTTAAAATAGGTTAGGCAAGAAACGATGTAGGCTTGGACCAGGTGGTGGGAGTGGGATGGAGAGAAGCAGGTGGATTCTGGGTATATTGATCCCGCAAGACCTGATGATTTCTTGGCTCTCCAAGGGGAGCTACCAGGGTAGCAGAGCTGACACTGGGGTGTGGGTACAAAGAGCATGGTGAACAGCACAGCCCTTTTCTGAAGCATGAAGGAGAAGTCTTATAGATTTAAAAGAGAAAATCAAAAATTTGGACATATTAAGTGTGAGAAAGTATAAGAGAGACAAGTGGAGACCCCAAGCAGCAATTGTGTAAAGGAGGCAGAACTCAGAGGACAGATTTGGACTAGAGTTACTACTCATTTGAAAACCGTTAGTAGTAGATGAAGCTCAATGCCATAAAAGTGTGGGATCATCTGAGAAGAGAGTACAAAGAATTGAGGAAGGCCAGAACCAAGCCCTGAGGATGTTCATTTTTAGACGTCAGAGATTAGAGAAGGACTCAGCGATCTTTGGAATAGCCAGAAAAAGAGGGAAAAATAAAACAAATGAACAAGGAGAGGGCAATTATATTGAAGTCAGGGGAAGAGAGAGTCAAACAAATCATTGTGTGTTGAAGAATATGAGGGACCAAGTAAGATAAAGGCTTAAATTTGTCCATTAATTTGCTAATAAAGCCTAAAGTCCTTAGGCTGATAATTAAAGTACCCTAAAATCTGATACCTCTTATTCCTGCAAATTATATATAAATATCTTATTAAACAAAACCCATGTTCCATCACACAATGCAATATTTCATTTATTTATACCCACTTTCATCCCACTAGTTCAGCAACATAGAGATCTTTCAAGATATTAACAAAATTCTTACTTGAAACCTGCTGCCTTCAGTTTTGAAGTTCACATGATAGGGTCCTCCGTTCGTATTCACCAAAGACTCAACCTTGCGAAGGAGCTCCAACACCTGGGTGATCTGCTCATCCTTACTATTGGTCTTGTTGTTGAAAATGCAGTATCGGCCCTCATAGTCTTGAACCAACTGCTTGAGAGGTTTGTTTTTTTCAATGAAATCTTGCAGCAAGTCATCCCCCAAATCATCCTTCCGAGTGAAGACAATAATGATGTGCCTCCTGGCTTCAGCTCCAAACACTTGTTGGATGCCCTTGGCTGTTTCCTCATCCTCCCTTGTGAAATGGCCGATGGCAATTACCAAGAGCAGAGCATGGAGGCTGGGAGCAGAGAGCTCCAAGCAGTGTTGGATGTTGCGTTGCTTGTCTTCAGCACAAGCTATTGAGGAGAAAAGGTCAGGGGTGTCAATTACCACAACCTTCCTTTCTCTCAGGACCCAACTCTCTCTCTGGCACATTTTGATCACTGTCTGATCACTGAACTTGGACTTGAACACATGTTTGCCCAGAATGGCATTTCCTGTGGCACTTTTTCCCGAGCGGCATTTTCCCAGGAGGAGGAGCCGCAGTTCGGACATCTGGCAGCTCTGCTCTGACATGCTTTCCTGACACAGGCTCCCGCTTGTTCTGTTGGGACAGAAAACAACACATTAATGTTCAACTCCCACACAGAGTGGACAGGAAAACAGCAAGAAAAGACATTCTCTTTTTGACTCAAATTGCCGCCAATGAATTTGAGCTACTGAAGTTCTAGACCCAGACTAGATTAGAACAAGAAACACTTTCCCAGGATCTTCCTGTTCCCTCATCTCTGAGACAAACCTAGAGATCTCTTTTAGTTCCTTAAATTTTTTTTTTTTTTACCATTAGGAACCACAAGAAGTCAGATATGTTAGAAACCATACTAAATAAGCATGTTTCAAAGTTGAAGGAAATCTCATAATTAATAGTAATGGTCAGATGTTTAAAAAATACAGATCTCTGGGACCCAACCTACACCTATTAAATCAGAATCTCAAAGGAAAGATCCTAGAAATCTGTATTCATCAAATGTCACAGTAATTCTAATGAGTAGCCAAGTTTGGGAAGCATTGCCCTATAAAATGCAATGAAATGTCTAGAGCATACAAGCAAATATAATATATGGTATACATGATACTCTGAAAATAATATCACAGAAGACAAACTAGAAAACTTCATTTGTGGGACTCGTGATGCACCCAGTGCCAGGTGAAGTTAACAGAGAAGCATGATGTGGTGGGTATGACCATGGTCTTGGACTCTGACCTGGTTCACCTTCTGCTCTGCACGCATTAGCTGAGATCTGTAGAGGCCACTTAACCATTCTGAGTCTCAGTGTCCTAATCCATAAGATAGAAGCGGTATTACCTACTTCAAGGATATTTTTATAAAACTCAAATGAGATGACAAATGAGAAAGTACCTTGCAAGTTTCCACATATTACCTAAATGCAAAGTGGTACGATTTCAGTATATAGATAGTGCTGCTTGGATTTAATATTCTCCCTGCAAAGGCTTCCACCTGCCAGGCAAGTCAAACCCAAAACTCTTGAGCTAATGTGCCAAGCTCTTTGCAATCTGTTTCCAGCCCACAGAGTCAGCTCTACTTGTAGCCACTCTCCTCAACACACTGTATGCTCCAGCCAAGTGAACTACTCATCTGTATTTATTTATTCAGGCCCCACCTTGTTTGACATATGTTTTGAGCTGATTTGCTGTACCTGTTCAGTCATCCTGCCTTGTACAATTTCTTCTGGATTGCCCAAGAGACCCTGACCTGAAATCAAGTGAGGCCTGGAAATTCATGGCAAAACTGTCGCTGCGAGGAAAAAAACTCCCCTCTACCATAATCACAGGTTTTCCCTTTAGGGTACATCAGCAAGTAGCTGTGATTCCCACACAGGGTTACACCAGGGATCCTGTGTTCCTCTCTTTAAAAACTTAGTTTCCAAGACTGCAAAGCTGGCCATGATGCCCTCACCTGGGAAGGTTTACCTATGCAGATCTACAAGAGAGTGGCTCTCCCTATGAAAGCTTCGTACAGCACCCTCTTGGATGGCCACCCCTCCATGGTCCATGGTGAAGTCAGAAAGTTATTCATGTTATTTCACACCCTTTCTAGTGTCTCTGCCCCTTGATGGGTTCCCTTCCTGTTCTCACCAAGCCTGCTCCAGCATCCTTTTTGTCACTTGTATGAAAAGACTGAACAACAACAAATAAAAGGCATAGATGCAGCAAGCAGATAAGAATGTGACACACATGAGGACAATGTTGTGGGAGTCCAGGGAGGAGTCAGTCACTGGGACAGATTGGTACCACTCCATCAAAACTGCTCCAGCAGAGGGCAAAGATCCCTTAGCTGCCAATTCACAATGTGCTTACACTCATTATCTGATCACTCTGTGCCATAACCTCTTCATTCTTTATATTTTTCTGATTATGAAGTTTAGTGTTTATTCTAAAGAATTTGGTATATTTAGAAAATTTTAAAGAAAACAATCTGGCTCCATCTGTGGCTCCATCATACATAAATAGCACATTTAACATAAATTGTTAAAATATGCCTATAATTTCTTTTCTTTTTTTTCTGTTTTAGAGACAAGGTCTCTCTCTGTTGCCCAGGTTGTTGTGCAGTGGTGGGACCACAGCTCACTACATCCTCAACCTTCTGGGCTCAAGTCATCTCCTGCCTCGACCTCCAGATTATCTAGAACTACAGGCACACACCACCATGCCCAACTAATTTTTTAAAATCTTTTGTAGAGATGGGGTCTCTCTATGTTGCCCAGGTGGGTCTCAAACTCCTGGCCTCAAGCAATCCTCTGGCTTTGGCCTCACAAAGTGTTAGGATTACAGACATGAGCCACCATGTTCAGCCCATAATTTCCTCATACACACATACATTTGCATCATCTGGCAATAACTTCTCTTGTAAAATATATTTTCATTAAGTAAGAATAACATAGTCCTTAAAATAAGTGGGAAAATATGCAAAATGATGATTGGAAAATGATCTGCCGTCTACAAAGAATCGTATCAATTTGTAGTGTTTTTATTACATGTAAATGAGCATTTTAGGTTCTTTTCCTTTTTATCATACTTATGTGTCCATCTGAAGCTAATGTAAACTCTGTATGAGGAAAGTTTACCCTAGAAACTACTCCAAATATTGAAAATAACAAGTAGTAGTAAAATAATTTACTTTATCCTGCCTATCACTGCTGCCATTGACACCTATACACACTGCCCAGGGGCCTAGGTTCCAGCCAGCTCAGCCCACTACTGCCACCACCAGCGCCCATGCATGCCACTTGGGGGTCTAAGGGCTGGCCCACCACTGCTACTGGCACTGCCAATGCTACATATATCATCCAGGGGCCCAAAGACTGGCCCACCAAACCTGTTGCTGTGGCCAACACACACCACCTGGGAGCCCAAATACTGGCCTACTCGGGTCCTCCACCTGCCACTATCAGTGTTTGTATATGCCACTCAGAGGACTGAGTACTGACCCACATAGCCCATAGTCACCAATACTGGTGCTCATGTGCATCACCCAGGGCCCAAGGGTGAGCCCACTTGGTATCTCTATCCCCAGGAAATCTTACCACAGCCTTCACTAACAACCACAGGCTAAACCACTGAGGAACTTGCAGACATCACTGACATTGATTACAGCCAAAGAAATCATATGAAGACTACACTACTGCACCTACCCAGAATCAAAGCCAAAGCACCCTACCCAATCAACACTAGAGATATGTGTACAGAAAAAAGTCTTTCCCTGTGAAAGCCAATGCATAAAATTGAAAGAAGCAACTGTTACACCAGATGCACATAGTGCAAAAACACAAGAAACATTAAAAAGCAAGGGAACATAGTATCTCCAAAGGAACTCAATAATTCTCTAGTAACAGATCCCAAAGAAAAGAAAATATTGGAATGCTTGAAGAGGAATTCAAAATAATGATCTTAAGGAACATCAACAATATAAAAGAGAACACAGATTGACAATACAAAGAAATCAGAAAAAACAATTCATGATCTGAATGAGAAATTCAATAAAGAGATAGATATTATAAAAAAAAGGAACCAAATGGAAATCCTGGACCTGAATAATTCCATGAACAAAATAAAAAAATATAACCAAGAGCTTCAAAAATAGACTAGATCAAGCAGAAGAAAGAATTTCTGAACTTGAAGGCAGGTCTTTTAAAATAATTCAGTCTGGATAAAAAAAACTTTTTTAAGAATAAAGAAAGCCTATATGACATATGGGACACCATAAAGTAAACAAATACTTGAATTTTGAGAGTTCCAGAAAGATACAAGATGGGAAAAGTCACAGAAAATCTATGTAATAAATAATAGCTGAAAACTTCCAAAGTATTGTGAGAGATGTAGACATTCAGACACAGGAAATTCAAGATTCTCAAATAGATTCAATCCAAAAACATCTTCTCTGAAACATATTGTAGTCAAATTGTCAAAAGTCAAAGACAAAGAAAGAATTCTAAAAACAGCAAGATAAAAGTCTCAAGTCACATATAAAGGAATCTCCATCAGACTAACACCATGTTTTATTAGCAGAAACCTTGCAGGTCAGGAGAGAATGGGATGATATATTCAAAGTACTGGAAAAAAAAATTTTTTGGCCAAGAATACTATACACAGCAACACTATCCTTCAGAAATGAGGAAGAAATAAAGCCTTTCCCATACAAACAAAAACTGAGGTAATCTATTACCACTGGACCAACCCTACAAGAAATGCTTAATGGGGTCCTACATGTGAAAGTGAAAGGACAGTATCTACCACCATGAAAATGCACAAAGTACAAAACTCATTGGTAGAGCAGATATACAAATGAGAATGAGAAAGGAATCAAATGTTATTACTATAGAAAACCACCAAATTTCAAGGATAAACAATAAGAGTAAAATAAAGGAACAATGTGTCAGGCCTCTGAGCTCAAGCTAAGCCATCATATCCCCTGTGACATGCACATATACATCCAGATGGCCTGAAGCAACTGAAGATCCACAAAAGAAGTGAAAATAGCCTTAACTGATGACATTCCACCATTGTGATTTGTTTCTGCCCCACCCTAATTAATCAATGTACTTTGTTATCTCCCCCACCCTTAAGAAGGTTCTTTATAATCTCCCCTACCCTTAAGAAGGTTCTTTGTAATTCTCCCCTCCCTTGAGAATGTACTTTGTGAGATCCACCCCCTGCCCACAAAACACTGCTCCTAACTCCACCGCCTATCCCAGAACCTATAAGAACTAATGATAATCCCACCACCCTTTGCTGACTCCTTTTTCGGACTCAGCCCACCTGCACCCAGGTGAAATAAACAGCCTTCTTGCTCACACAAAGCCTGTTGGTGGACTCTCTACACATGGACATGTGAGACAAAATGGATATACAAAACAATCCAAAAACAACACAATGACAGGAGTAAGTTCATCTATCAGTAACAACCTTAAATGTAAATGGATTAAATTCACCAATTTAAAGCAAAACAATGACAGGAGTAAGTTCATCTATCAGTAACAACCTTAAATGTAAATGGATTAAATTCACTAATTTAAAGGTATAGACTGGCTGAATGGAATATAAAACAAGACCTAACTATATGCTGCTTACAAGAAATTCACTTCCTCTGTAAAGCACATAGAATGAGAGTGAAGGGATTAAAAAAAACATATCGCACACAAACAGAAACCAAAAACATGCAGGAGTAGCTATACTTACATCAGACAAAATAGACTTTAAATAAAAAACATAAAGACACGAAGAAGGTTATTATATAATGATAGATCAACTGAGCAAGAGAGTATAATAACTATAAATGTATGTGCACCTAATACAGACAGGTAAAGCAAATATTATTAGGGCTAAAGAGAGAGCTAGACCCCAATACAATAATAGGTGGAGACTTTAATACCCCAGTTTCAACATTGGACACATAATCTAGATAGGAAATTAATGAAGAAACATAGGACTTAATCTACACCACAGATCATGTGGACTTAACAGATGTTTACAGAACATTTCCTCCAACAGCTACACAATGCACTTTCTTCTTATAAGCACATAGAGAATTTTCCAGGCTAGACCATCTGTTATGTCAGCATTATCCTGATATGGTTTGAGCATATAATTTATTAGCTCCAATGGTGCTTAGGTATCAGTAGCCAATATGGGATATTGTGTGGAGCCTTTGGCAGGCCCTTATAGATAACTCACAGTACAAACCCTAAAGATTTTGGAGCAAAGCCTTGCTATTGTCTATGAATAACTAGTCACCTTTTGAGAAACAGCTTTTGGCCTGCCGCTGGGCCTTAGTAGACACTGAACACTTAGCCATGGGCCACCAAGTTGACATGCAACCTGAGTATACAGTAAAGTCAGGTGTGCACGGAAGGACTCCATCATCCAATGGAAGTGGTATATATGAGATTGGGCCTAAGTAGGCCCTAAATGCACAAGTTACATGAAAAAGTAGCCCAAATGCCCATGATACCTACTCCTGCTATACTGCCTTCTCTCTCCCAATCTGCACTCATGACCTCATAGGGGAGTTTCCTACAATGAATTGACAGAGGAAGAGAAAACTCAGAGCTGGTTTACAGATAGTTCTGCACAATATGCAGGCACTACCCAAAGTGGACAGCTTCATCACTATAGCACCAATCTGGGACATTTCTGAAGGACAGTAGTCAAGGAAAATCCTCCCAATGGGCAGAACTTTAAGTAGTGTACCTGGTTGTTCATTCTGTTTAAAAGGAGATATGGCAAGTATAATTATATACCAATTCATAGGCTGTGGCCAATGGTTTGGCTGGATGGTCAAGGACCTAGAAGAAACATGATTAGAAAATTGGTAACAAGGAAGTCTTGGGAAGAAGTATGTGGGTAGACTTCTCAGAATGGGTGAAAAACATGAAGAAAACATGAAGACATTTAGTCCCATATGAATGCTTACCAAAGGGTGACTTCAGCAGAGGAAGATTTTATTAAAATAATCATCAAATGGATAAAATGACCCATTCTGTGGATCCCAGTCAGCCTCTTCCCCCAGCCACCCCTGACATCATCCAATATGCTGATGAACAAAGTGGCCATGATGGCAGAGGTGGAGATTATACATGGGCCCAGCAACATGGTCTTCCATTCACTAAGGCCAATCTGGCTATGGCCACCACTGAGTGCCCAGTCTACTAGCAGCAGAGGCCAATACCAAGTCCCTGATATGGCATCATTCCCCAGGGTTATCAGCAAGCTACCTATGGCAGATTGATTTCATTGGACCACTTCAGTCATGAAAGAGGGAGTGTTTTGTTCTTATCAAAATAGACACTTACTCTGAATACGGATTTGCCTTCCCTGCACACAATGCTTTTGCCAAAACTACAATCCTTGGGCTTACATAATGCCTTACCTATTGCCATGATTTTCCATACAGGCTTACTTCACGGGAACTCACTCCAAGGAACTCACTTCACAGCAAAAAAAGTGAGGCAATGGGCCCATGTTCATGGAATTCACTGGTCTTACCATGTTCCCTGCCATCCTGAAGGAGCGGAATTGATAGAAAAGTGGAATGGCCTTCTGAAGATTCAGTTATAGCACCAGCTACGTGACAATACCACCTTGTAGGACTGGGGCAAGGTTCTCTAGGAGGCTCTATATGCTCCGGATCAGCATCCAATATATGATGCTGTTTCTCCCATAGCCAAGATTCATGGATCCAGGAATCAAGGGGTAGAAACAGGAGTGGTACCACTCACTATTACTCCTAGTGACCCACTAGCAACATTTTTACTTCGCATCCTCAAGGTCTTATGCTGGCCTAGAGGTCTTAGTTCCAAAAAAAGAAATGCTTCCACTTGGAGATACAACAATGACTCCATTGAACTAGAAGTTAAGAATGCCACCTGGCCACTTTGGGCTCCTCATGCCTCTCAATCAACATCAAGAAGGGAGTTTTGGTATTGGGTGGGGTGATTGATCCTTACTACCAAGGGGAAATTGGACTACTACTCTACAATGGAGGTAAGAAAGAATATGGAATACAGGAAATCCCTTAGGGCATCTCTTAGTGTAGCCACGTCCTGTGATTAAAGTCAATGGAAAATTACAACAACCCAATCCAGGCAGGGCTACTAATAACTCAGATTTTTAAGGAATAAAGGTCTGGGTCACCCTCCACCTCCCCAGATAAAGAACCACAACCAGCTGAGCTCACTGATGATGGTAAAGGGAAAATAGCATGGGTGGTAAAAGGAGGTAGTTATCAATACCAGTTATGACCACGTGACTAGTTACAGGAATGAGGATTATAATTGTTATGAGTATTTCCTCCTTACTTTGTAATGAATGTATGTGTGTAAAATATCTCTGTTTTCTTCCCTCTCTTATCCCTCTAACATGTAACAAAAGATGTATTGATTTTATATTATAATATTTAAGTATGGTTAACTTTACATCATAGTACTTAAGTTACAGGATATCAAAGAGAAGGATAAAAAGACTTTATTTCTTTTTCTGGAGAAGGAATTAGTGCATATCAGTTGTATGCAGGACAGTTGTATCATGTTAGATGGATTTATGACCTTGTTATTGTCTTTAATTGGGAGATTAAGTGTCATTTATGGAGAAGTGTATGGATTCCAGATGGATAAGGTGAGGACATGTGCTGGTTAATTTTGTGAGTCAATTTGTCTGGGTCATGGAGCCTAGATAGTTAGGCAAACATTATTCCAAATGTTTCTGTGAGGGTGTTTTGCGATAAGATTTACATTAAAATCAGTGGACTCTGAGTAAAGCAGATTGCCCTCACTTGTGGGGGTGGGCCTCATCCAATCAGTTGAAGACCTGATTAGAATAAAAGGCTTACCTGCCCCAAGCAAGAAGGAATCATTTGGCAGATGGCCTTTGGACTTCATCTGCCACATTGGCTCTTCCTGGTTCTACAGCAGGTTGCCTTTGGACCTAAACTGCAATTCTTTCCTGAGTCTCCAGCCTGCTAGCCTCCCCTATCAGATTTTGGTCTCACCAAGCCTCCACAATCATGAAGGCCAATTCCTCAAATAAGTATCTTACACATACACACACACACACACACCACACACATCATTCATTCTGTTTCTCTAGAGAACCCTGGCTAACACACATGGGAAAGGTGCTAAAGTGCTCAGTGCCTTACATCTAAGCAAGACAGAAGTGGTGAGGAGGTGAAGGAGCCAGGCATATGGCTCTCTGAGGAAAGAGTGTTGCAGGCAGAGGGAGCAGCAAGTTCAAAGGCCAGGGCCTGTTGGGGAAGGAGCAGGGAAGGCAGTGCAGCTGGAGTGGAGAGTGGCCGAGTGCAGCTCAAAGAACTGCCCATGAGCAAGGTGGAGCCTGTGGAGCTTGCTGGGGCTTTGGCCTCAGGATGTCTGCATCTCTTCAGACCTTAATCTCATCAGACCTTCAAGATCTTGCCAATCTGACAGGGGTAAAACAGTATTTCACGAATGTTTTCAGCTGTCAGAGTTTACGTTTTACATTTTTTCATGTGCTTGTTGGTTATTTGGACTGGCCCTTCTGTGAATTTTTAGTTAATATTCTTTTCCCAGTTGTCCCTATGGATATTTAGTATAATTTATTGCTTTGTAGAAATGATGTATATGTTCTGGTTACTAAACCTTTGTTGATTCTACACATCTCATAGATCTTTTCACAGTCTGTGGCCTATTTTTAGGTTTCTAAATATGTCTTTTGTCATACACACAAAAACACTAAATTTTAATCCACTCTTATCAACCCTTTCTTTCATAATTTAAGCATTGTTGCTGGGAACAGGCCCCAAGCCTGTCCATAAACAGGCCATGAGAAACTGGCCATAAACAAGATCTCTGCAGCACTGTGACATGCTCATGATGGTTATGACACACACGCTGGAGGTTGCTGGTTTACCTGAATGAGGGCAAGGAACACCTGGCCCACCCAGGGCGGAAAATCGCTCGAGGTGTTCCTAAACCACAAACAATGGCATGAGCAATCTGTGCCTTAAGGACATGTTCCTGCTGCAGATAACAAGCCAGAGCCTGTCCCTTTGTTCTCCTTAAGGAATACTTTTAGTTAATCTATAAACTGCAGAAAAGATATTTATCACGGGATTACTGTCAATAAATAGGTGGGTGAAACTCTGTTCAAGGCTCTCAGCTGTGAAGGCTGTCAGCCCCCTGATCCCACTCTGCACTCTGTTTCTGTGTCTGTGTCTTCATTCCTCTAGCACCACTGGGTTGGGGTCTCCACGACTGAGCTGGTCTCAGCACACTGTGCATTTTTTAATTTAAAAATTCTGTTTTTATCATGACATCAAAGAGATATTCTTTATTTTCTTCTAAATATTTCTTACACAATTTAGAACTTTAATCTCTCTGGAATTTGCTTTTGTGTATAGTATGAGGTAGGCAACTAATTTTAACATTTTTCCATATTGAAAAAAATGACACTGTTGATTGGCTAAACAAACTAATCCCCTTCTCTTTTACACATCGCCCACTATAAATGCTGGAGAGGGGGAATCTAAGTACTTTCTGTTGTAGACAGAATGGTCGCCCAAGGTGTCCACATGCTAATCCCTAGAATCTGTGGCTGTGTTACTTTACATGGTAAAAGGGGCCTTGCCAATGTTATTAAGAATTTTGAGACAGATAATCTTGGATCATCCAGGTGGGCTCAGTGGTCTGTAGGAGGGTCCTTATAACAGGGATGCAGGAAAGTCAGAGTGAGAAGGAGACAGGAGGACAGAGGCAGAGGTCACAGAGACAGAGGGACTTGAAGATGCCACATTGCTAGCTTTAAAGACAGAGGAAGGAGCAGGAGCCAGGAGTTGAGGGGATGAAGGTGGCTTCTAGAAGCTGGAAAAGGTGAGGAAATGGATTATTCCATAGAACCTGCAGAAGGACCATATTGCTGCCCAGAAAACCTTGATTTCAGCACTTTTGACCTCCAGAACTGTAAAATAAATTGGTGGGGTTTTAGCCACTAAGTTTGTGGCAATTTGTTACAGCAGCAATAGGAAACTAATACACTCTGTCTCCCAGCTTCCCTTCTAACTAGGGTTGTCTATGTGACCCAGCTCTACCAGATGACAGTTACATGAAAGTCTGCTTGGAACTTCTGGGAATATTAGTACTATTTCCTTGGTGATAGAGACAGACTCAAGTAGACAGTTCCTGTTGTCATCTCCTCCCACTTCTTGCATGGGATTGAAGTGTGATATCTGGAATTGTGGCAGATAGTATGGGGCAATAAGGTCACAAATATTAAAACAAAAAGTCAACCTGTGCCACCAAGCAGAAAGATAAAAGGCACCTGGATTTCTGCTGCTGTCACTGAGCTCCCAGAATATCCCAGAGACCAACTCTTTGTTAAATGAGCACTTAATATTCTGATGATTTAAGAGCTTGTTAATCAAAGTGCAATTCACAGAGTAGCAACATCGCCAAGAACTGGGATCTCATTAGAACTGCAGAATCAGACCCTGCCCCAGATGTACTGAATCAGAATCTACAATTTAACAAGACCCAGGTTATCCTCGTGCACATTCAAATTTAACAAGCTCTGGTTTAAGCCACCTTTAGTTAAAAATGAGCATTCCTAAATGATCCCACATGAAGAGTCAAGCTTCCCAGCACCATTTACTAAATAGTCCATGATTCCTCCAATGATTCTATCAGACGCCAAGTGCCCGTAGGTCCACAGTTCTATCCCTAGGTTCTCTGTTTTGTCCATTGGACTTTTAGTGTATTCCTGAACCAGAACATCTTCATTTCTAAATGCCAATATTACTTAACTCCTGTAACTTTAGTATAACTTTAAAATAAGTCTTAGTTAACTGACTGAGCAACTCCCAACACCTTGCTATTATTCCAAACTGTCTTGGCTCCTCTCAGCTCTTTAATCTGGTATAGGACTTTTAAAAATCAGCTGTCAATTTCTTTAAGTCCTGTTGAAATGCTGAATGCCATTGCATTGCATTTATAGCTTTGTTGTTGTTTTCCCTCCATTTTTTGTTGTTTTTTCCTCCATTCTTTTTTGTTGACCAGTTTTTTGTTTTTTGGTTTTTTTTTTTTTTTTTGAGATGGAATTTCGCTCTTGTTGCCCAGGCTGAAGTGCAATGGCACGATCTTGGCCCACTGCAACCTCTATCTCCCGGGTTCAAGCGATTCTCCTGCCTCAGCCTCCCGAGTAGCTGGGATTACAGGCATGCGCCACCACACCTGGCTAATTTTGTATTTTTAATGGAGATGGGGTTTCTCCATGTTGGTCAGGCTGGTCTCGAACTCCCAACCTCAGGTGATCCACCCGCCTCAGCCTCCAAAATGCTGGGATTACAGGCGTGAACCACTGCGCCCGGCCTGTTGACCAGTTTTAAATATGTTCTAATTTCAAGTATGATTTCTTTTTGACCCAAAAGTAAGTGATTACTAAATTTAAAAATGTATTGAGACATCTACTACCTTTTTATTTCAAATGCTGCATTGTGGCCAGAGAACAATGTCTGTATAAACTATTTGTCATTGGTTGAGATTTGCTTTTTGGCTCAGTGAAATTTTTGTAAGTGTTCCTGTAGGCTCAAAAAGAATGTGCAGCCTGTTACTGTGGTACCTTCCACAATCAAGGCCCCATCTCTCCACTGACACCTTAGCTACAGCTTCCCAGATGGTCCAGCACACCCTTGCCTGCACCCCATCCTCCTGTCTGCCTGGAACGTTCCTACCCATTCTCCATCACTTAGCCCAAGGACTCTGAGGCTCCATGTCAAGCCTTTCCTAACTTTTCCAGATTGAACTGGTCATCAGCTCCTCTTTGGACTTTTGCAGTAATATTAACACTGCTCCCCGGTTTCCACCCTTCTCCAGCTGTCTATTGTCCACCAATAGCCACAGTTCTCCTCTCCTGTTAAAACAAGAGACAGGTAATGTCACGCTTCATTCTAAACCTCCCCCCACCCCCAGTGACTCTCCACCCATTCAAAGTAAAAGGCAAAGCCTTTATAGTGGTCACGAGACCCTACCTTGTGCCCAGCTGCTCTCTGACCTCATCTCCCACCCCCTTCCCCTCACATTGTGTGCCATAGTCACATCAGCCTGCGCTGTACTTCAAACATGCTTGCTGTTCATCTGAACTGGGGCATTGTCCCTTGCAGACATGTGCAAGACATGTGCCTGAGCACTTCCCTTAGGTCTCTATCACACTGTCCCCTTAGTACAGGAGGCCCTCTCCAGCCTCCACCCGCTATTAAAGAGCTGTCCATGCCTCTGTGCCCCACTGACACCCCCACCCCATACCTAGCACCCGCCACTGCCACCCTAAGAGCTGTCCACCCCTCTATGCCCCACGGGCACCCCCGCCCCATACCCAGCACCCACCACTGCCACCCTAAGAGTCGTGACTCCTCTGTGCCCCCCGCCCCGTACCCAACACCCACTACTGTCACCCTTCACATCTGCATTTAGTTGCTTAGTGCTTTTTAGTCTGCCACCACTACAGGTGAGTTCCATGAGAATAAGGACTTGCTCTGTTTTTCTCACCACTGTATCTACAACATAAAGAAAGTATCTGATAAATACTTGTTTCTGAGTTGATGGTTATTGACTTGAAGAACAAGCAAAATGCAGCAGATACGCCGAAGAAAGTGAAGAGTGGGAAAGCCCTTTTTCTGTGCAGCAATTTGGTGGTTCATACCTTTTCAAAAAATGGGGTCTGTGGCACTCAGGGGAGAGGCTGCACTGCAGGGAATGACCCAGGGAGGTAGTAAAGGCAGTGGCAGGGCCCACTTTCGAAAAGGGCGAGGCAAAGCCCACAAGGGCCTTGGCAGAGGCCTCTCTCTGGAATCATCTGGATGGCTGCACGGCACGGGGCAGAGCCCACCGCAGCTTCAGACACCTCAGAACCTCAGAACCGGTCCACCAGGGGAAAAATATTTCCGGTGGGTTCAAACCTAATCAGCACCGGGGATCTTCTAAGAGCATCTTTCACCCAGATACACCCTATGGAGAGAAGCTCTCACACTAATGCCCTATCTCCTCTCTCTCCTCAATTTTCTTCATAACATTGATTCTATCTGATATTATTTATATTTTATAATTATTTATTAATTTTATTTTTAAATGTCTAAATGTTCTCTGTACTACCCTTGGTACAAAGCTCCATAACAGCATGTGCTGAAACTCCAAACATGCCTGTTTTGTTCTGTGTCCCCAGGCCCTAACATTGTGCCTGGCATGTAGTATATGCCCAATACGTGGAGGTAAAGGAATGAACGATCACAGGAGAGACAGAAATGTGAAGAAAAGAAGAAAAACGGTTTTTAGAACTGAGAGGGAGGCCGGGCGCAGTGGCTCACGCCTGTAACCCCAACACTTTCAGAGGCCAAGGCAGGTAGATCCCTCGAGATCAGGAGTTTGAGACCAGCCTGGTCAACATGATGAAATCCCCGTCTTTATTAAAAGTACAAAAATTAGCCAGGCATGGTGGTGGGTGCCTGTAGTTCCACTCGCATGTATATATATATATATATATATATATATATATATATCTCACACACACACACACACACATATACACACATATATATACATATATACACATATATACATATATACATACATATATACATATATATACATATATACATACACACACACATATATATGCAAGTGAAGTGAGATGTCTCTGTAAATTAATTTAAGAAAAAAAGACACTAGTGAGAAAACAGCAAGCTGAAGGAAGCAGAGGCCTCCCACAGGTCTGAAGAAGAAAGAAATTTCTTTCCCAATTAAGCGACACAGCCTTGCATGGTTCCCCAGCAGAGTATGACCAAACCAATGAGTCTTGGCTGGACTCCTGCCTGCAGCTCCACATGATGTCAGGACCTACACACACACACCCACATACACACACGCACATGCACACTCCTACCACACATACAGCTTCCCAGCCAGTAGCACTTCACCCCAACATGTAGAAAGTGCACTTAAGGACAAAAAGGTACCCAAACTCACCCTCACTCACGCTCTGCCAGCCCACATTTCCCTCTGCTCAATTTCCCAGGCCACTCTGGAGACCCCAGCAGAGCAACTGAGAGAAAAAGAGAGCGTTCTTCCTATAATTCACTGAAGACTGTAAAGGCAGCCTCTGCCTCCTTCTCAGGAAACAGCCCAAGGCAAACGTGGACTCAGGCATCTGAGCACAGCATCCAGCCATGCGGGGATTCATCCCACATCTAATCGCAGTTCCCACTTACAGAGCAGGGTGGTTGGAGATGCCTCCAGAGCCCAGCGTGGGGAAGACCTTAGACCCAGCCCAGCAGGGCAACCATCAAGAGGAAGGGAAGAGGTTAACTGCTGAGGACCAGGTTGGCTGAAATGTAGGTGAAATCAGAAATATTGCTTTTGGTAAGGTCTTGACCCCTCCAATCCCTCCAATGCCCAGTTCACAGAATCCTAACTGTGCAAGGGGCAGGAAAGATCAGAAAAGCAGACGTGGAAAAATCAGCATCCCCCACCCCCTGCTTTGCGGGAGGAGCTCCGCTGGCTTCCTCCTGGGGGCTGCTCTGCGGCACCATCTAGCTTCATGGGGCATCTGACCGGCTGCTTCCGCCTGCTTCTTCCTCCCTTCTGCCAGTCTCAGCCCTCCTCCTCTTCAGGGCTCACACCCACTCCCCGACACGCCTTCTTTTAGGACAGCCACTCTCATAGATGTCTGGGAATATGCCTCTGTCCCCATCCTGCCGAATCTACTCCCCAGCAGGCTGGGGAGACACGCTTTGGACCAGGAGGAAAGCTTCCCAGGGCCCCTGCCATTCAACTCTGCCATTCAACCCTGCCATTCAACCCAGCCTCCTCTCCCATGGCTGAGCAGGCTGCCTTCCCGGTGCCAAGCCCATCCTCCCCCACAGCCATGCACCAGTGCACACACATCTACACACGAGTGCACATGTCACACATGCACTGCGGTCGTGTCCCATGGGGTCCCACGGCGTCCCACAGTCTCCGAGGCTCCGCAATCCACCTGGCTCTATCCCTCCATCTCTCACCTGGGTGGAAGCAGCTGCTGGTCCCCCAGGGCACAGGATGTGAGGAAGGTGAGGAGGGTGAGGGGAGAATGGCCGGAGAGCGACCCTCTTCCCAGGCCCTGGTCTTCCTGGCAGGAGGGTTTCGGGTGTTTCTGCAAAGGAAGAGATTTCTAGAAATAGCCTTCACATCCACAGAGGCATAAATGCAGTCGGAGAGGAAGTTCCCTGTGCAGGCCACAGGCTCAGAACCTCGAGAGCCGTCGGGGCTCAGGGAGGAGCCAGCATCGGGGACACACGCGCCTTCCCTGGGTGCTGAGCGCCTCGTGGGGTCACAACACAGCAGAAACTGAGGAGCCCGGCCCGTCCCGCAGCTGCAGACTGAGAGGAGGGAGGAGAAATGACAGCAGAGGCTTGGCCAGGGGCTGGGGCGCCGGGGCCGGTGCCAGGCTGAGCTTCAGAAGGGCTGCAAGAACAGGGGCTTGGATAGGGCAGGAAAAGGACGTCAAGCCAGTTCCTGTTCCTGAGAGGACAGAGATTGTGGCGCCGCTACAAGCTCTGAGCAAAGCCAGCTCCGGGCCTCTGTGTGCCCTTAAGTGGCCTTTAGGACTTCCTCTCACAAGTCCTTCCTCGCTTCCCTTCCCTTCCCTAAAACCCACAACCCGGGGAACTCCAAGCCTGACAGACCAACGCTGCTTCTCAGGGAATGAATGCTTTTCCCCAGCTTGCAAAACGTGAAATGCTAGACTTCGATGCTTTCAAATATTTCACAAAATGAAATCCCTTTTGTGAAAGAACATAGTGTCCAAACTACCTGGTCTCTACTTCATAAGGAAGTCAAACACGGAGGAAGACTTCTTAAAAAATGTTTACTAGGGTAAAAATGATGTAACATTAATAGTACCATCCTAACCATTTCTAAGTGTATAGCCCACAGTAGAAAGTACATTCACATGGTTGTGTGCCAGATCTGCAGGACTTTTCATCCTGCAGCACCCAAACTCTCCCCATTACACCCCAACTCACCTCCCCGAACCCCAGCCCGGGTAACCACCGTTCTACTTTCCGTTTCTATGATTTTTTTTTTTTTTTTGAGACAGAGTCTTGCTCTGTCGCCCAGGCTGGAGTGCAATGGTGTGATCTCGGCTCACTGCAACCTCCACCTCCCGAGTTCAAGCAATTCTCCTGCCCCAGCCTCCCGAGTAGCTGGGATTACAGGTTCCCGCCACCACACACGGCTAATATTTGTATTTTTAGTAGAAACGGGGTTTCACCATGTTGGCCAGGCTGGTCTTGAACTCCTGACCTCAAGTGATCCACCTGCCTCAGCCTCCCAAAGCGCTGGGATTACAGGTGTGAGCCACCACACCCGGCCTGTTTCTATGATTTTTGGCAACGTCAGATACTCATGTGAGTGGAGTCCCACAGTGTCTGCCCTCCTGAGACTGAGCAGAATGCCCTAGAGGTTCATCCAAGTGAGTGCGGGACCCTCTGCGCTCTGCACAGCAGGGCCCTCTTCACAGGATGCAGAGGCTAGGGCCTCGAGGGACTGGAGCTCAAGTTAGTTTTCCAAATGTCTGAGGTGGTGCTAAGCTTTCCAAAGGGACCCCGCAGAAGGAGGAGCAGTGGGGGTGGCTGAAGTAGAGGGGCATGCTTCAGATATGAAGTCTCTACAGTAGTCAAAACCACAGGCTTTGGGGAGCTGCTGTCAGCCTATCACATCCCGAGGGATCCACCCTCCCCCTGGACTGGTCTTCATGCGCCAGCCTTGAGGACTGCTCTACCTTGTTATGAACCTGAGGGAAACCCTGGTTATGCTGGGATGGCTCAAGAAGAGCTTTGGGGACACACAGGACACATCTTGATGGGGAAAGCTGACAAAGCCCTTCCCATGTCCCACTCTACCTGTCTCCTCATTGAAAGAGGATCTATTTTGGAAGAACCCCACCCTTCCTTTACAGTAGGTCAACGCACATAAAACCAACTCATTATAATGAAAAGACAAAAACCCGAAGCCAGGTACTGCAGTTCATCCCCGCTGGGGTACTAACAGAGGCAGAGGCTCAGCAAGAAACTGTTTCCCCAAAATAGAGAAGAAAAGGCTCACTCATTCTTAAATGAAATATTAAGCATCCAGGGATTGCTCTAAGTAAAACTGAAGCTGCAAATAACTCCTCAAAGATTCAGCAAGTCGATTATTTGCTGAGTTGACCATTTTGCAAAATGATCTTTCAGCAAATCAGCTCCTAGAGAATTGATTTCCGTGCAGAAGGCAGGCTGCCGGGTTCTGGTTTGGCACCGATCTGAGGCAGGATGGGGGCTCCCTGCCCCCTAGTGGCTTTGTGGCTAATGACAAGTGCAGCAAAATGCTCCCCAGCGGGCCGAGAGCCCTGACTCAGCAGGCAGGTGAAACACTGGGGAGAAGTTCTAGACTTCCAGAAATCGAATAAGCCAGGAAGACACATGTTATGCAAGCAAGGAGAAATCTACCAGGACCAAGCACCGTATTAGACACAGAGGGCACAAAGATTAGCAAGGCAAATACCTGACTCAAAGGGGCCCTAACTCAGTCTGAGGATGGGGAAGAGACTACGCTGTGGTCACGAAACGAGGTAATGTGCTGTGATAGAGATGCGTCCAGGCTGCCACGCAAGTGAGGAGGAGACGATGTAAACCCCGCAAGATGGAAAAACAACCAATTGGGGAAATAAACTTATAAACAAATCCGTAAACCCGCCATTTCCTGTGGCAGGTACTGACGGAGTGGTAGAGACGGAGTTTCACTATGTCCTGCCATGGAGAAGATTGTAAGGCACAGTGAAGGGAAGGCCGCGCGGGAAAGGTAATGCCTAAGTCTTGAAGGGCTGTAACATTTGCCTGTCAGATGACGGAGGGAGGACGCCTCAGGCAGACGGAGAATGGCAAACGCCACCGGCATCGGGGCCCTAAGACAGCCCAGCAGGTGCGAGAAAACGCAGTCAGGCTGGAGACAGAAGGACCGGTCAGAGGCTGCTGCAGCACCCAAGCTAGAAATGAGGAGAACTAACGCAGAGACAGCAGCAAGGGGAACAGATTTATTACAAATAGAAACAATAAGGCCGGGCCTGGTGGCTCATGCCTGTAATCCCAGCACTTCCTGGGAGGCCGAGGCCGGCGGCTCAACTGAGGTCAGGAATTCGAGACCACCCTGACCAACATGGTCAAACCCCGTCTCTACTAAAAATACAAAAAAATTAGCTGGGTGTGGTGGCACGTGCCTATAATCCCAGCTACTCAGGAGGCTGAGGCATGAGAATTGCTTGAACCCGGGAGGCGGAGGCTGCAGTGAGCCAAGATAGCGCCACTGCACTCCAGCCGGGGCAACACGAGTGAGACTGTCGCGGAAAAGAAAAGAAACAATAAAAGAATTTCTTAAAAAGATGAATTCACAGTTGTTAACACGATTGACCCAGTTGCCACATCAAAGGGAGTGCTATTCACTGCAGACATCTTTGTTATTTTGGAAAACATTATTATACGTTATTTCATTTCAAAGATGGAAAATGTGTGTGTTTACTACAGCTTTGGTAGATGGTAGTAAAGTGTCTTGTGACTAAATTTGTATATTTTGACAAGTTTTTGATGGAATTAAGTATCTTGTTCAAATGGAGTCCATGTCTGTTATAGTAATTCAGAAATAATATACTTATTTTAAAACGTTTAGCTTCTCCTGTAATTCCAGCTCTTTGGGAGGCCGAGTCGGGTGGATCATTTGAGGTCAGGAGTTCAAGAGCAGCCTGGCCAACATAGTGAAACTCCATCTCTACTAAAAATACAAAAATTAGCCAGGCATGGTGGCATGCACCTGTAATTCCAACTACTCGGGAGACAGCTTTTTCTGATTCTCATAAAGGGCAGTGGTCACCCAGGCTGCCTGGATGTGGAGCAGCCTGGCATCACAGTACTTTCTAGTGGCCTTTATGGAGAGAGGGCTGAGAGGCTGGTGTTTTGCTAGAGATGAGCACGTCGGCATGGGGATGCTGGGCTTGAGGCTTCTAGAGACAGAGCAGGCAGGGGCATCCAAAGGTCTTGATTGATTCCTGTGTCCCAAGGATTCTTCATGCCAATCCTCTCACTGAAAACGACTAAAAATAAAGAGGATAAAAATATTTCTAAATCTTCTCGACACCATCCAAGGGCCAATGAGATGATAAAGAATGACTTTCTTCCAGCCTGCACTCTTGCTGGAGCGCAGGCACCCTGTGCCCAGCTGCAGCCCTCAACCCCACTCTGGACCTACATTCAACACAGCTCCCCTGGGCTTTGCTTACAGGTTTCCTTTTGCTTTTCTTGTTTGTTTTGGGTTTGGTGGGGGTGGGGGTGCTGCTATTGCTGCTGCTGCTGGTGGTGGTTTATTGCCAAGTAAGACAAAGTGCCCTCTTTTTATTGCAGTGGTGACTTTTCTTCACCTTCTTAGCTGGCAGCAAAGGCCTAAAAGAGTCATGTTGCTTCTGGAAGATTCTAGAGAGATACAGGCAGTCATAAGAGGCCCACAGACAATAATCAGGAGTGGAAATAGAAAGTTCTTAAACTCTGAGTGATTGATAGTGGTAGCAAACAGCTTTGTGAAGGTAAAAACTATGAGTCAATGGTAGTTAAAAGCTGGCAAGAGACCTGATTTTGAAATGAAAAAATCCACCAAAAGAGAAGGATCACCCAAACAGAGAGGGAGGGGCAATTCCTGTAAAATTCCACAGCAACTTCATATGATCCCAGGGTTTTCCCAGCACCTCACTACTCATTCTTCTTCCTGGGATTTCCCCAAATTCTCCATATTTTTTCACCTATAAAAAGTGAGGGTCGGGTGCGGTGGCTCACCCCTGTAATCCCAGCACTTTGGGAAGCCAAGGCAGGTGGATCACTTGATGTCAGTAGTTCAAGACCAGCCTGGTCAACATGGTGAAACCCCGTCTCTACTAAAAATAGAAAATTAGCCTGGCTTAATGGGGCACTCCTGTAGTCCCAGGTACTCGGGTAGCTGAGGCAGGAGAATCACCTGAACCCAGGAGGTGGAGGTTGCAGTGAGCCAAGATCACACCACTGTACTCCAGCCTGGGCAGCAGAGTGAGACTCTGTCTCAAAAAAAAAAAAAAAAAAAAAATTTTAAGTGGGGACAGCTGGATGTGTTGGCTCACACCTGTAATCCCAACACTTTTGGAGGCCAAGAAGGGAAGATCCCCTGAGGCCAGGATTTCAAGACCAGCCTGGGAAACATAGAGAGACTCCATCTTTGCAAAAAAAGTTTTAAAATTAGCTGAGCTTGGTGATATGCACCTGTGGTCCCAGCTACCTGGGAGGCTGAGATGGGAGGATCACTTGAACCCAGGAGGTATAGGCTGTAGTGAGCTATGATTGCACCACTGCACTCCAGACTGGGTAACAGAGCAAGACCTTGTCTCAAAAAATGTATGTAAAAATACAAAATAAAATAAAATTTTTAAAAAGTGGGAGTTTCTGGAATGACTTGAGCTCCACTCCAAATTGTTCCTCTGTAATATTCAAGATGCATTTCCACACCATTGCACCAAACAAAAGCTTTCTGAAGGTGGGGACTATGTCTGTCTTGCTTATGACTCTATTCCAGCACCAAAACGGGGCCTGGCACACCAGGGATGGAAGAATGAGTGAGTGAGGAATGAAAAAAACACCACTCCTTTATTCCAGGGAGTGGATGGAGCAGGTGTGGCCATTGCCCTCACCCTCTCCCCTCCCCACCCACTCAGGTCTGGAGGGAAGCCTCAATCCTCATGGCTTAAGCCCCTCTTCTGATGTGGACATTCACGAGTCCTGAGCCAGCTCCTGACACTGGAGACACAGTGAGCAGAAGCAAAGTCCCCCAGTCTCTGACTCTGCCTTCCCCCGGGCCTGGCACTAGACCAGCCTGCAGGAGCTCCAGGCCCAGGCTGGCCCCACCCCAGAGCTGCATTCAGACATCCCAGGGGCACAAACCCTCCCCCAGAGCCACAGCTTCCTGGGCTCTGGCCCCATGCCCACAGCTGCCCCCCATGTGGCCTTCCCGCAGCTGTGACGGGGCCCCTGACACCTTGCCCTGGCCGCTGGGCTCCCTGGGGACTCATTCTGCAGGCAGAGAAATGGACACCTGGCTTTCCACTTCAACCTCCCAAGCTTTCTATTTCTCCTCGTAGGTCTTCTGGTCAGCCTGGTTCCCTGGTCCTATAGTGGGAAATGACACAAGGCCTGTGAGGCTGCAGCTGACTGTGGTGGAGATTGTCACACAGGGGCTTCCAGGAGCATTCCAGGTGAAGGTCAGAGACCCCGGCCAGCATGTCCTGACTGCAGGGAGCAGCACCTGTGCTCAGAAGGACTTGGTGGCCCAGGTAAAGTTCTCATTCAGCATGCAGCCCTGGCCTCCTGCAGGTCCTCAGGCATCTGGCCCCTAACCCAATAGAATGGAGACTTCAGCCAGAACTTGGGACAGCGGAAACTGTCACCCATAGTCCCCATTCATGCAGGGTAATTAATTGGCTGGCTGCAGCCAACAGAGACATTCAAGAGAGTTCCATAACCTCGAAAGGAGCGTCAGGGCCAAGAAGTCTGGGGAGCAGCAGAGCCTGAGATAAGGCAGTGTCCTAACTGCATCTGAATCCCAGCCCCGTCAATCACGCCCTGTGTGAACTTGCACAAGCTCATGAACCGTGCTGCCTCCCAGTTTTGTCATCTGTGTGATGGGGATACAACTGTTAGCTCATGGCACTGGAGGGGGACCGGAGGACCCAATGTCTGTCAAGCACTAACGCTTTGCCCAGGGTCCCCCATGTGGTGGTGGGTGCCACAGCATCAGTATCTGGGTAGGGGCCTGCGGGAAGCGGGACTGGGGAATGACAGCCGGTGCAGCCGGCTCTGGGCAGGGAGACTGAAGGGCAGAGTCAAGGCCGACTCCACACATGGGGCTGTGCCCCGTGGGGGGAGTGGGGATCTGGAGGAAGAGGCCTAAGAAAGAAGAGGCCACCTGAACCATGAGACCCCAAAGGGCCCCCCTTGCCTCTGGCCAGGGAAACAGAGCCTGTGGCTCCAGCCTTGGGGACAAAGGCCCGTTCCTTGGCTCACTTTCCGGGGCTCCCTTCTCTGAGAGCCTAACCAGGGTCCCTCTGGAGTCTAGGTTCCTGCCACAACAGCCCAAGTAGATTCCGCTCTGCCTCTGAATTCCATAGTCACTCCCCACAACCCACACAGGAAATTCTAGCCGTTTCTCAGCTGAGGCCCCTTCAGGAGCTCTGCTTTCTCCATGACAGCCTCACACCCACGGGGCACAGGTGGTGGTGTTATTGTTATCATTGTGACCCCCCGGGTGTTTTCTCTTGAACATAATTTCTACAGGGGCCAGAGAAGGGTAGACGTCATGAGACGCTGAGGGTGGCCCTGGGGTTGCTACCAGCACGGATGCCAAGGACCTAGGACAAGCCTGGGACTGGGACCAGCCAGGTCTAGATGGAGCCTGGGCCATTCTCCAGGGGAACATTGTCCCGTCCTCTGGTTGTACCCACTTGCCCCTGGAAGCAGGGGCGTCCTCTTCTCTCTCTTCCATCCCGTCTCCTGTGGACATTCCCCCACATATTCTAGCACAGGCTATGCGTTACCCTCAACCCCTTCCAACACCTTCAGGTTCCTGCCAACACCCACAGATGATCCAGTGGCGACCAGAGCAAGAGTCGGGGCTCACTGCCATAGGGATCAAGAGATCGGGGGGCTCAAGACCAGAAAGTGTTCTCCAGTGGGAGCTTCCATCACTCCTGAGAAGATGACATGGGCTGAACACAGAGATTCCAGGGCAGAGACTGATCACGCAGCCACCCTGTGTCTCCTTCAGCACCCGTGATGACGCCACACTTCAGAAAGCAAAGGGCCCTCAGCCCCTGGCTCTCCCCAGCTGCTCTCACCTCTTCGCCCCCTCGCTGGAAATGCTCCCCTCAACCCAGGGCGGAAGTGCAGGCTGATCAGGGGAGGGTCCCCGGAACTGCTGCCAAAAATACCGTCCTTACCCATCTAGGCGGACTCCTCCCAGCTTCCCTGTGCTCTCTGCGCTGAGAAAAGCTCGCAGCTGAAGCGAATGAAGCCGTGGCCGCAGCCAAAATAGTGATTGTGTCGGAAGCGGTTGCGGACCCTGGAAAGGAAATGAGTCCAGAAGGCACAGAACCAGCAGGAACCGGGGCGCAGGGCACAGGGCGAGTCCCCACGTCATGGCACAGGGCAAGTCCCCACGTCAGGAGCCGGTGCTGTTGGCTCCCAGCATGACCGGCAGAAAAGATGGGAGCCTACACAGCACCCCTCATGCGGGGACCCCCAGCCATGCCCCCAAACTTTTAAACCCTTTCACACAGCCCGTGCCTGGAGGAGCTCTCCACGACGTCAAACTAAACGGGTGCAGCATGTGCAAAGGGGCAGAGAGACTGAGCGGCCTCCCCACTCATCTACCACGAGTGCAAATTGCCCGCTTTTCCAAAGGACAGGCTCTCCCCTGAAGCCCTCCGTGCTCTCAGCTTCTCCTCAATCTCCATTTCTGACCAGTGGATCCTTCCGCTTCTTACGCTGCCAACTGCTAAGATGTGACCCGTTAACCAAAATGGCTTCCATTTTTTCTGCTGCTGCTTCATCTGCAGGCGAGAAGTAGGAAAGTGTTAGAAAAATCAAGCAGCAATCCAGGCATCGCTCGTAGCCACATTCCTCCCTCCTTGCTGGGGTTCATCACAATAGATAGCTCCCTGTGCTTCCACCCGCACACACAACACTGTCGCCCTGGTGGCCCTGCCCTCCCATGTAGGCACTAGCAGGCTCCTGCTCTTTGCCGGAAGAGAGGGATAGAATCAGAAGAAGAAAAGGCCTGAGAGGCGCCTTGACCTTGTTTCCAACAGCATCAGCCTCAGAGAGATGGCCAGAGGAGGGGATGTGAGAACACACATGGCCAGGAAGATGAAGGTAGGGGGTACCCTCAGGCCCCAGAGTTTCCCCTTCCTGCTACCCACATACTTGATGGAATGAGAAAGGCAAGTGAGAGGCAGGCCAGGAAGCCCTGAGAGAAGGGGCCGCATCCCACTTCCCAGCAGCACAGCAAAGGTGCTGGGAGACCCCTGAGAGAAGTGGCTCCCCAGGGATCCTGGGCAGGCAGCACAGGGGCCTCAGCGCAGATTCCCACACCCCAAGCTCCCTGTGGAAGCTGAAAAGAAAGGCAGACCCAAGAGGCCAGTGGGCCAGGACTAAGGACTGGTGAAAGGCACTCCTGAAGACCTGCAAGGGGTAAGGGGAAGGGGAAGAGGAAGCAGAAGGAGAAGGAGAAGGGGAAGGGAAGGGAACAACAAATATCTCTTATGAATATAGATGTGTGGATGCAAAAGTCCTCAACAAAATGCTAGCATACCAAATCCATAAATATAGAAAAAGAATTATACACCATGAAAAAGTGGGAATTATCCCAGGAATGCAAGGTTGGTTTAACATCTGAAAATCAATTAATGTACTACACCATATCAAAAGACTTTTAAGAACACACACATACACACACATAACCATCTCAACAGATACAGAACAAATATTTGACAAAATCTAATGCTTTTTTGTAATGAAACACTTCATAAACTAGGAATGGAAGGAGACTTCCTCAATTTGATACAAGGAATCTACCAAAAAACACACAGATAAAATTATACTTAATAGTCAAAGATTGGATGCTTTCCCTCAAGATTAGACACAAGCCAAGGATGGCTGTTCTTGCCACATCTATTCAGCATTAAGTAGACATTCTAGCCAGGGCAATTAAGCACACACACAAAAAAGGCATCCATATTTGAAAGGAAGAAATAAAACTATCTCTATTCACAAATTACATAGAAATTTTCTACACAGAAAATCCTAAGGAATCTACTAAATAAAACTATTAGAATTAATAAGTAATTTCATCGAGCTTACAGGATACAAGGTCAATATACAGAACCAATTATATCTCAAAACAATGCACAATCTGAAAATAAAGTTGAAACAATTCCATTTATAATAGCACCAAAAAGAACAAGAGAAATAAATTTAATAAAAGTTTAAAATTTATACTTTAAAGACTATAAAACGTAGTTGAAAGAATTAAAGGTCTACATAAATGAAAAATATACCATATTCACGGATCAAAAAACTTAAGATTGTTAATATGGCAATACTCCCAAAATTGATCTATACATTCAAGAAAGCCCTATTAGAATCCCAGGTGGCTTCTTTGTAGAAGTTAACAAGCTAATTCTAAAATTCATATAAAAATTCAAGGGACCTAGACTAGCCAAAATACTCTGACAAAAGAACAAACTGGAGGATTCATACTTCCTGATTGCCAAACTTACTACAAAGCAGCAGTAATCTAGATAGTGTGATACTGAGATAGGGATAAACATATAAATCAATAAAATAGAGCTAAGAGTCCAGAAATAAACCCTCACATATATGGTCAATTAATTTTCAACAAGAGTGCCAAAACCATTCAATGGGGGAAAAACGTAGTCTTTTCAACAAATCATACTGAGATAATGGGATAGCCACATATAAAATAATGACATTGAACTCTCGCTTCACACCATATACAAAAATTAACTCAAGATGGATCAAAGACCTAAACATAAGAGCTAAAACTATACAACTTTTAGAAAACATGGTCGCAAATCTTCATGATTGGATTTGACAATAGGTTCTTAGATATGACATCAAAAGCATGAGCAACAAAAGAAAAAATAGATAAATTGGGCTTTATCAAAATCAGAACTTTTGTACTTCAAAAGACACTACTTAAAAAGTGAAAATACAAACCACGGAATGAGAGAAACATTTGAAAATCACATATCTCATAAGGAACTTGTCTCTAGACTATATAAAGAAATGTTATGACTCAATAATAAAAAGACAAATTACCCAATTTTTTAAAATGGGAAAATGATATGGATAGTCATTTCTCCAAAGAAGTCCCACAAATAGCCAAGAAGCACATGAAAAGATGTGTAACATCATTAGTCATAAAGGAAATGCAAATCAAAACCAAAAGAGAACACGACTTCATACCCACAAGCATGGCTGTAATCAGAAAGTCAGATAACAAGAGAGTGAGGATCAGGAGAATGTGGAAGAGGTGAGAATGTGGAGAAATTGGAATCTTCATACATCACTGGTGGGAATGTAAAATTGTGCAGTCACTTTGGAAAACAGTCTAGCAGTTCCTCATATGGTGAAACATAATCAAATGATCCAGCAATGACATTCCTACGTATTTACCCAAAAAAGGAAAACATGTCTACTCAAAAAGTAGTACATGCATGTTTGTAGCAGCATTATTTATAATAGGCAAAAAGTGGAAACAACTCAACGTCAACTGATAAATGGATAAACAAAATGCAGTATTTCCATACAAGAGGATATTATTTGGCCCTAAAAAGGGATGAAGTACTGATACATGATCCAACATGGATGAACCTTGAAAACATTAGGCCACCTATTATATGATTCCACTTACTTCAAATGTTCAGATTAGTCAAACCTATAGAGACAGAAAGTAGATGAGTGGTTGCTTAGAGCTGGGAGGAGATGGGAGGATGAAGAGTGATCCTTAAAGTACAGAGTTTCTATACAAGGCGATAGAAATGTTATGAGGCTGACTGTGGTGCTGGGTTGCACATATCTGTGAATATACTAAAAACTATTGACTTGTACACTTTAAATGGTTGAATTTTGTGGCATGTGAATTATATCTCAAAACTGTCATAAAACAAATGAGATTTCCCTATGCCCATTTTCCTTACTGCTCTGCAATTCCTGCCACAGGTGACGCTTCTTTCTACCCTCCACATCACTCTTTTTGAAGGTGCCACAGATTCCAGCCCCAGGGTCAGCCTAGACAAAATAAGGAGGATTGACTGTGGTCTGGAGCTGGATCAGGGTATTCCTGGGTTCCTAATACAATATCATCTTTTTAAAACAAGGTATTGCACAGTGTGTGAACAAGCATGGAAAATAACCCGTGTACTCAACACCCAGCTCATTAAGTCTAAGCAGTTTGTCATTTTTGCTCCAGATTTTTTAAGTGAAAATATTTCAGATACAGCTGTAGCCCTTTATATACCCTTCCAGTGATGAACCTACAGGCTGCTTCCAATTTTTCCTACTACAAATAAGGTTACAATTAACACAAATACAGATGAGAGCTCCCCTGGAGTCTATACTGTAAAGTTAAATTTCTTTGTCCTAGGGAATGCACATTTTTAAATTCACTGGATATCATCACATTGCTGTCCTGTTTATAAAAACTTACATTTGTGTTTGACAGTGGTTGATAGTTATCATTTCTCTACATCTTCACCAATAGCTGGTATTATCAGACTTTATTGCCAGACTGGTGGGTGTGAGATGGTATCAGATTGTTTGATTAGCTGTGAGGCTGAGCATGCTTTAAATGTTTAAATGTCTTCTGTGTCTTGCCTGTTCATATCCTTTGCCCAATTTTTTATTGGGTTGTCTGCACATTCCTTATTAAGTTATAGGCATTTGATATGCTGTATGTTTCTTATATCCTATATTTTATGTTCCACATTTTTATATGTTCTTCTTTTTTATTTTTGAGACAAGATCTCATTCTGTTGCCCAGGCTAGTGTGCAGTAGTGCAATCTCGGATCTTTGCAGCCTCGGCCTCTTGGGCTCAGGTGATCCTCTCAACTCAATCTCCCAGGTAGCTGTGACTACAGGCTTGCACCACCATGCTCAGCTAATTTTTGTATTTTTTTGTAAGATGGGCTTTCGCCATGTTGCCCAGGCTGATCTCAAACTCCTGAGCTCAAGCAGTCCTCCCACCTCGGCCTCCCAGAGTGCTGGGATTATAGGTGTGAGACACCACATCCATTTTTCTATGTTCTATGTACAAATAGTCCCTGACTTACACTTAGGATTGTTTGACTTACAATTGTTCAACTTTACAATAGTAGAGAGCGATATGCATTTAGTAGAAACTGTACTTTGCATTTTGAATTTTGATCTTTTTCCAGACTAGCAATACGCAGTACAATACTTTCTCATAACGCTCCACAGTATTTCATAAATTCCATGAGATTTTTCAATACTTTATTATAAAATAGGCTTTGTGTTAGATGACTATTGCCCAACTATAGGCTCGGGTGGTTGTTCTGAGCATGTTTAAGGTAGGCTAGGCTAAGCTATGATGTTCCATAGGTTAGATATATTAAATGCCTTTTCCATTTATATTTTCAACTTACAATGAATTTATCAGGACATAATCCCTTCGTAAATCAAGGAGCATCTGTACTAATAATTCACTATTTTATGCTTTGCAGGTGTCTTTTCAAAGTCTGTGGCTTGTATTTTGATGTAGTTTATAATGTCTTCTATTATACAGAACTTTGATCTGGTCAAAATTATCAATATTTTCTCTTATGATTTGTGCTTTTTTTGTGTACCTTAAAAACTGGAAAATCTTCCTCATATTTCTTCTGGAAGCTTTATTTTTTTTCACAGTGGAATTTTTTGTGAATAGAGTGAGATAAAAATGTAATTTTATGACCGGCCCGGAGGCTCACGCCTGTAATCCAAGCACTTTGGGAGGCCGAGGTGGGTGAATCACTTGAGGTCAGGAGTTCGAGATCAGCCTGGCCAACAGGGTGAAACCCCATCTCTATACAAAAAATTAGTGGGGGCATGGTGGGGCTCACCTACCAGCTACTCGAGAGGCTGAGCCGGGAGAATCACTTGAACCTGGGAGGTGGAGGTTGCAGTGAGCCAAGACCGCACCACTGCACTCCAGCCTGAGCAACAGAGTGTTCTTATTTTTATAATTTATAATTATAAAATTTATAATTTAAAAAATTATATATATAAAATTTTATTTTTTCATATAAATAATTAGTTGTCCTAGCACTGCTTATTGGATATTTCATCCTCTACTCTCTACTAATCTGTAATGCCAGCCAGACCATCTTAATACATCAAATTATAATCCAGCATTCTTTCTAACATAGCATATATAAGTGGTATTATAAATCAATGAGAAAAAGATGACATCCTAGTCAAAAAAAATGCTCAAAGCACATAAACAAAAAATTCACAAGACAAGATATGCAAATGGTAATAACTATATGAAGAAATAGCCTCATTTAATTAGTAAAGAACAGTAATTTAAAGCCACAAGATACAAACATTCATTTGCCAAACAGTCAGAGGTTCTACCTGGCATCACTGCCAGTGGAAGAGTAACTGATAAGGTTTTGGGAGGGTATTTTGGCAATTTAGCAGCCTTTACATGAACATATGCTTTCCACTTTTAGAAATTCTACTGCCAGGATTTTATACCTACACTTATAGAAATTATATGTCCACTTCTAATAATTTATTGTAAGGAAATAATTAAGAGTATACACAAATATATGCCATAAGCATGTGATTTTAATTATAAAACCCAAAACAACCTAAATTTTCAAATAAGGGATTGGTTATAATAATGTTGCATGGTATATCATTAAAACACATAAAAAGCAGTTTTTAGATTGGTGATTTTCAACTGGTGATTTTTGTAGCAGAGCCCTGTTTTGCAAATAAACGCGCATGTGAAACCCCAATGTGTGAAAGAGATGGATGTGAGGATGCTCCTGGTGAAGGAGTCAGGCAACCCCATCACCCACCTCCTTCAACATCTTTAGGAGGGTGCTAAAAAGAAGACTGTAAAACGCTCCACGGAACCCTGAAGACAGCACTAACACCAAGTATATTTACCATGTATTGTTAAATGAAACAATTTGCTTTTAAAAAAAAAAGAATTGATTCATCTTTTAAATGTACATATGAAGAGAGAATAAATGAATATATTCCAACAGTCTGGACACCAGTGTATTCACAGAAGGGTATGGAATTATGGGGATTCCACCCTTCTTTTCTGCTTCAATGTATAAATTGCAGTGCTTTTATAATAAAGTGAAAAGCAATGGGAAATGAGATGAAACAAAGAGGCATTAATTCAGACCAGAGCACAGAGAAGAAGGAAAAGGGAATATATAGCTATTGCCAAAATAGTGACATACAGCAAACAACCACAAAAATCGACATGGCACAGATACAGCAATAAACACATTTCTCAGTCATCTGTGGGTCTACTGGCTTCATCTTGTTGATCTCTAGGTCAGCTGGAGTGGCTTTGTCCCACATGTCTTCATTTCAGGTACCAAGTAGAAGGAACCGAAACCACCCAGGGAAAGCCCCCAGGCAAGGGCAGAAACCCAGGAGGCCAGCAGAAGCCTGCAGGGTCTTACAAGGGGCAGGCTGAGAACGGGAACCCTCTCACTTTGCCCCATTCTAGTGGCCAAAGCAAGTCACAAGACCAAACCGAAACTCAATGGGCAGGGAAATACAGTCCGCCCAAGATGAGCAATGGCATGGGTATGAATGGAGGACAGGAAAGAATTGGAGTTAATCCTTCAATCCCTCACAGTATGGAGGGCAGGGTCTGTTGACAAGCAGCAAGAGGTACCCAGGAAGGCAGGGCCTGGCTGTCCCCACCAGCACCCCAGACACCCACCTCAGCCCAAAGAATGGCTCAGAGCCACGCTTTCTAGGCCATGAAAGGAGAGGGGCCCTTTCCCTCGTGACCCCAGAGCAGATGGCAGAATACAGTCTAGGAGGAAGTTCCAGGAGGAACATGAGAAACCTCACAAGCCTCGTGCAGTTTAGTTTCTGATAACCACTTCTCTTTCTTTGTCTCATGTTTCCCTTCCTTCGTGAAGTTCCTAGAAAGTGTAAATTTTTCCTTACCTTTAATTTTTTCTTTAATTTTTCTTTACCTTTTTTTTAAGTTGCCATCTAATCTGCCCTTGAAATGCTCTATTCTGTGCCAGTTGTCCATTTCAAGATGGAGTCACTTGTTTCAAACCCAAGCAAAGTAGAGTCAGGAGCCTAAGAAGGGAGGGTCCTCATGCACATGCGCCTACAATAACAACGATTACAGCCAAACACAGTGGCTCACACCTATGGTCCCAGCTACTTGTGAGGCTGAGGCGGGAGGATCACTGGAGCCCAGGAGTTGAGCCCAGGCTACAGTAAACTATGATCACGTTGCTGCACTCCAGCCTGGGCAACAAGGCAAGACCCCATTTCTAAAAAGAAAAGGAAAAAAAAGGACTATTACAAAGACTCTCTGAAGGCTGTGACACACATATGCCTGTAATAAGGACTATTTCCAAGGGCCTTCCCAACTGCAGCCTGCCACAGGAGTCACTGGACGGCCGGCCACATGTTGGAGCACTCTCACCTCACATGCCATCTCCACTAAGAATCTGACCTCAACTCCTGTGCCCAAGTAACCAATGTTCTCTTTGTTCAAAAACAACTCAACAACTCCTGTGCACTCCTCCTTTTGCCTTTATTTTTTTGAGACCAAGTTTCGCTCTTATTGCCGAGGCTAGAGTGCAATGGTACGATCTTGACTCATTGCAACCTCTGCCTCCCAAGTTCAAGCGATTCTCCTGCCTCAGCCTCCCAGGTAGCTGGGATTACAGGCATGTGCCATCATGCCCAGCTAATTTTGTATTTTCAGTAGAAATGGGGTTTCACCATGTTTATCATGCTGGTCTTGAACTCCGGACCTCAAGTGATCCACCCGACTCAGCCTCCCAAAGTGCTGGGATTATAGGCGTGAGTCACCACACCCAGTCTTCCTTGTGCCCTTAAAAGCTTCCCCTTGCCTCAGCCTCCTGGATGCGCCCATGGCTGCTGTGGCACGGGCACTCCGCATCACAATCATGCTGCTCATTTCCAAATAAATTCATCATCTTTGGAGAATCGCTTCTGTTTGTTATTTAGGTTGATAATTCTTCAAAAAAAAAAGTCTATGACTTCAGTGACAAAGAGGGAAGCTGGGAGGTCGGGAGGAAGGTGTGTTAGGAAGAATGTGTCTGACTCTGTGGTTAGTTGGGGTGGGGACCCTTCAGCCTCCTGAGTAGGAGCGGCAGGCCTGGGAACAGGGGAGTCTCCTTCCTAGGTCCTATTGCCTAGGCCCACATGATGCCTACCTGAGGCATATGCACAAAGAAAAAGTCCTTAAAATTTTGTTTTTCTCTAGAACAACCTACAGTCCTAGGGACAGACACACCATCCTCCTAAGTCCTATCACACCCTGGAAAATTGTAACAAAAAGGTGACAGTCTCCTTGGGGCATTGCCTGCAGCCTTAGCTAGGGGCCATCCTAGTTATCTCAATTACTCATCCAATTTGTGATCAGCCCTAAGTTCTGGCTCACTCTAGCTCTCTCCTTCGACTTCCTCATCTCCCAAATGGAAGTGACTACCCCGACCTACCAGGCTGTTGTGGGAACCGAACGATGTGGCAGAGAGTCCAGCTCAGCTTCCTACCGTTCCACGAGGGCCACTGAAAGGCCAGTCCTCTTCAGCCTGCAATGAGAGAGATTGAAAGTGGAAGCAGGTCTAAGCTCACAGAATCAGGAAGAAGGTAGAATGCTGAATACACTTCTTCCTCCAATCCCAAATGCTAGAACTGTGTTTCTATCGAAGTTTTGTCATCGACTTTTTAGAATCAGAAAAATGATTAAGAAACATGAGCTGAGATATGCAGGTTCCTTGAGCAAATAGGATTTTGTACAGCAGACACCTCCTGGTGTCTCATTTCCTGAGATCCCCAAAGTGAGAGATAAGAAAGCTGTGGCCGCAGCAGAGACTTGAAACAGTGACCAGAGACCAACTCTTCCACAGGAAGGTGTCTGCACAGAAGACTCACAGGGGCAGCTGACAAAGATCTGTCTATAGCCTGGTCCACAATAAAGATCAGGGGTTGGACAGGGTGAGACACCCAACACGGTGGCTGGAGCCACCCCCTGTAACTATCAACAAACTTGCAGCCCAAGGTCGAGCACAAATAAGTGGGCACAGAAAGACACTTCAGGACACGAGCTACAGAGAGGCAGCCACCTGGCCATCCTCCAGCTGCCTGAGGTTTGCAGATGCCCTTGATGCCACCCCCTATCCCTCCCAAGCACTCTCCTCTCCGTGCACACAGATGCTTAACAAGAGCACCTATGACTCTCCACAGACCAGAGCACCAGGGACACAGTGCCCCTGGGAGATGCTGCCACCAAGGCCAGATGGAAAGAACACCCCTGTGTTCTTGCTCCATGGTTGGCATCTGAGACGTACCTGCCAGGGTTCCCCAGCAGGATCAAGCTCAGTGGCCCAAAGTGGAAATGAACTTACCAGTCATCCTCCAGTGGCCTCCTCTCTTTCTCACTTTCCCACTCCCCCACCAGGGTTTCTCGGGATCCACTCTCAAATAAACTACTTGCCCTTGAATCCTTAATTCAGGGGGAGTCAAAACAAAGACGACCAATCAGAGACAAATATTAACCATAATGATGTCTATTACTCAGATAGGATTGAAATCAACTCAGAAGGGCAGGAATGTGTGAAATCTTCTCCCTTTCCCTTCTCTGCTGAGTAATTGACTCTCATGCCCTAGAGCCTTCTCTACCCCTCTGTAAGCACGTGGATTCAAAACTGAATGTCCAAGTTCAAACCCAACTCCCCACAACCCAACGTTCCCAAGTCATCTAGGGAAATTTGCTTCACCTCTTCAAGTCTCCATTTCTCCAATGTTAAGACAGGAGAGTCTCAGACAGTTCACAGCGACCAACCCACCCCTACTCGGCCACCACCCACATAACATCTTACTGGGAGATTTCTCCCATTGAGTTCAAGTTCATAGCTGGAGAATATGGAAACTGCACACTCACCATGGAAGATAACACCAAGAAGTCTTTGTCTTTCCTGTCTTCTGCTTTCATCATCTGCCCCCTCCCACCAGACTGTGTTTCTCCATGACACCCTGTAGTTTGGCCACAGCCAAGCGGATCTGAAGACCATTGCCTCCAGAAGTTGGCATGACGATTCTAAGTTCTCCAGGTGGGAGAAGGAGGGGGATTTACTTATGTTTTTAAATGTTCTAGGACTTGTGTGTCCTGTTGAACTCCAAGATCTGTGGAAAAGGGAGTCACAAGAAAGACAAAATTCTCATAGTCCAGCTTCACAGGCACAGAAGGGCCTCAGCACCACCATGGAGCAGGCCCAGACACAGGGCTGAAGTGGGAGCTGGAGTCTCCCCAGCACCTAAGCAAAGCCTCTCTTCCCCACAGCTCAAGGTTCCAACAGCCCCTCCTTCTCACTCCTTTTCCCCCTTCAAGTCTTCCAAGTATGCACTCCAGACTGGTGTTGGTATTGAGTGTGGGCCGATGAAGGGAGAGTGGGGTGACAGAGTTGGTCTGTCCCTTTTCAATAACTGCCAAGAGGACTGTTGATGTTCTCTCTAGAATGTGAGGTACTTGACTGTCCTCGACTTTGAATAGAATATTCAAAGTGGGAATACAAGCTTTCCCACTCAAAAGCTAATTACACCTAGGAAAGAAAATCAACGGTATTTTTTATAAGCAGTATACAAAATAGTTGCCTAATTTTCTTCTTTTCCTTATAGCCCTGTGAAACTGTTTTGGAATGCACGTCATTTAAAAAAATATTCATAACCCAGCACAGTGGCTCATGCCTGTAATTCCAACTCTTTGAGAGGCCAAGGCAGGAAAATCACTTAACTCCAGAGTTCCAGACCAGCCTGGGCATAATAGCAAGACTCCATCTCTACAAAAAATAAAAACTTAGCTCGGTGTAGTGGTGCATGCCTGTAGTCCCAGCTACTCGGGAGGCTGAGGTGGGAGGATCACTTGAGCCCAGGAGGTTGAGGTTGCAGTGAGCTGTGTTTGCACCACTGCACTCCAGTCTGGGTAACAGAGTGAGACCCCCATCTCAAAAAAAAAAAAATGTATCTCAAGACTTGTTCACTTCAAGAAAAGTTTAGAGTAGCCCAATCCCCTGAGGAAATTGGAACCAAGGGACGATGAAACAAGGGTCGTATCTCCTTTTTGGCTTCTCTGCTGATGTGGTTCTTATCTGAGAATCATATAAACTGTTCCCAGTGGGCAGAGCAATGGCACAGCCAGGAGTGTCTGGGGAAACTGAAGCATCCTGAGCCCCCTCCCAAGTCATCTGTGTCTGGGTTCTCTGCTTATGCCCCACAAATAGCTCGTCCAAGTAGGACATTCGAACAAGCACCCCGGACACAGAATGTAATCCGCACCACAGCCCAGCATATGGCCTGGCTTTTTCTCTTCATCTTCATCCTTGTATGTCTAAAGAGAAATGTTTGTGTGGGAGGAGATGACATTTGAGTTCGTTAATTCAAAACACTGGTGGTAAGATGACTTATTCCAGGAACTTCAGTTCTGGATTTCATCAAATAAACTCAGGGACTCAACAGAAGAAAGTGACCGTCTTGTGAGTCCACTGAGCTCTGTCTCCAGAACAGAACCCCAAGGAGTCGGACACAGGAGCAGCAAAGTGCAGGCTGCCCACTGCATCTGCACCAAGGGGAAGGCACGGTCTCTGCAGGCAGCTGCCTCGTACCCCAGCAGCTGCACGTTGCTGCCAGCGCCTGGGGACCGCTGCCTCAGATGGAGAAGCTGGAACTCAGATCCTAGACTATTCCCCTGGGGGAATGCGATGATGGTTTCCAAACTTCACAGGTGCAGGCACGGTTCAAACCTCTGCTTTGCCCTTCCTAACTGCCTGAACTTGAGCAAGTGACCTCCACCCCCAAGTACTTCAGGTTCCTGATCTATAGAAGGAAGATCGTAACGATAATGGTCTTGTGGAGTAGGATGAGGATTAAATAATCTCTCTCCAGTGGGGACTGTTTATTATCTCACACCCCATGTACCCCAGGGACAGAAAATGGGGTTAGGGGGCAGGGCGTGGTGGTGCACACCTGTGGTCCCAGCTGCTCTGGAGGCTGAAGCAGGAGGATCGCTTGAGCCCAGGAGGTCGAGGCTGCAGTGAGCCATGATTGCACCACTGCACTCCAGCCTGGGTGACCAAGGGAGACCCTGTCTCCAAAAAAATAATGCGGTTAGAGTTAGCATCTCCCTTGCTCCTTGGCTTTCAGGCCATACCTCTTCTCCCTTTTGAGAACTAGTCGGCCTCTTCGAGTGTTAGCTGCTGGTCTCTTCCCTTCGTGCTTTGGGGTATGGGCGTCCAGCTCAGTCCCCCCGCCGTCCCCAGGCTTTGTCCCAGGACATGCCGGGTGTATTTGTTCTCCATTGCTGCATAATAAACCACCACAAAAAGTGGCTTGAACAACACAGACTTACTCTCTTAGCGTTCTGGAAGTCCAGAGTCTGAAATGAACCTACAGGGCTAAAATCAAGGTGTCCACAGGGCAGGTTCCTTCTGGAGGCTCCAAGGGAGAATCTCACTGTTCCATGTCTCCTTCAGCATGAGACAGAGAGAGAAAGAGGGAGAGGTGGGGGGTTGGTGAGGTAGAAGGTGCCACACACTTTTAAATGACCAGATCTCATGTGAACTCAGAGCAAGAGCTCACTCATCACCAGGAGGATGGCCCAAGCCATTCATGAGAGATCTGCCCCCATGGCCCAAACACCTCCCACCAGGCACTTCTAACACTGCAGATTACATTTCATTCAACATGAGATTTGGGCAGGGACAAATATCCAAACTATATCAGCTATTAAAGTCCCCAAACCTTCCCTTTAGCTTCCAGTTGCTTTCCTTTGGCTTCTGGGGCAGCCTGCAGAGGGCAAGTGCCTTCGCTCTGAGAGCAGCTGAGTAAGGACACTGCCTTCTCTGACTATATTGAGTACCAGCCCCCCATTCACCAGGCATCCGACTCTCTGCCTCCAAACAATTGCTTTATGCAGGTCCAGGGGCTGGGCCTGGCTATTCTATGCCATCCTTGGGAGTCCTTCCCATCGTCAAGGATTTTCTGAAAGGTCAAGCCTGGCTGCACTGGAGAAGGGAATGTGGAAGCCACAGCCCCTCGTAGCCGGCAGCCTGGGCAGCAACTGGAGGAGGTGGAGCATTTTCCTCTCCCTGTGGGGCTGAGGAATGTGCAGAAAATGGGTCTGCGGGTTCTTTCCAGGTTGCTCAGGAAGGGGTCTAGGGATGTATCTGAGGGGACAAGGGTTTGGGTAGGGACCCAGGCCAGGACTCCAAAGCCCCAGTGCCTTGGCCCTGAGAGCTTGCCTGCCAGTGATTTCTACCTTGGCTGGAATGCACTTTGCCATTTCCTCTGTAGACACTTCCTTGGGCAGATGCGGCCATCTGGTCTACTCCACAGGAGGTGGGAGTGACAGCAGCAAATAAAGAAGACAGGAAGAAGGCGGCCAAGGGCTGCGTGAGTGAACACAAACAGCAGGAGGGCACTTTGCCCAGTGTGGCTTCTGAATCATGCCTCTGAAAGTCCCTGTGTGTGCACACAGCTGTGGGCAGTGCTTACGTTTCTGTGCATGTGTCTGTGGAGAGTGTGGTTGGGGGTCGGAGGGGGTACCTGTGAATTCCTTAGAGAATCCTAGAGGGTGGGACTCTACGGGACCTGCAAGCAAGTCCAGTGGGTTCCAAATGTTTTCTGCAGGTTCTAGTGGGGGCCCCCGGACACCTAAGGGGTGGGCCCAGCAGACAAGGTTGCTGGGGAGAGGGAGACCCATCCCATGCTGTAGCTGGAACACTCCTGGGGTGATCCATGGGTCTTCCTAGTGATATTTTGAAAAAATAAGATTTTACTTTCATTAAAAAAAAAACAAATCTTTGGAAGTAGTGACTTCCCATCTAACCTCCTCATTCTTCAGTGAAGAAACTGTAGCCCCCAGAAAGGAAGTGACTTCCCCAAGGTCGTGAAGGAACCAGCTGGGGGAGAGTCTCAGGCCTCCTGACTCCAAAGTGGGTGCCATCCACAGTTTATCTTGCATCTCTCGGCCTGCAGGGCTGTGGAGGTACAGGCGGCTGGAGGGTGCACTCTGCCCAGCCTCACCCCGGTGAGGACCAAGTGTCCCGGTTCTGAGGAACACAAGGCAAGGCCTCCCTCTTCTAAAGTCTCTTCTTGTTTCCTGACCTGCCGCACTAGTCAGGCCTCTGGTGAAAGGCGTTTGAGGCCCTCAGCACCCTCACGTGACGTGGGAGCCCCAATACGCATGGAGCTGTTGGCACCACTTTGCCACTGCTTGGCCTGGAGAAGTTCTCATTAGCCCTACAGGGACATGGGACAGCGGGATACGTAAGTTGTGGTGGATGGAGGATGGAAAATTGGCCCCATAAGCATCAAGAGCGTGCAGCTGCAGCGTCAGGGCACCTGATAGGCAGCCAGGTGGTGAGAGCTGGGAGCCCTGCTGGGCACTGACGTAGCCCATGCTGCAGGGCTGAGAGCCCTTCCTGCCTCAGGTGTGGCCTCCCACTAAGAGGATTTACCCAGTGAAGGGCAGAGTGGGCCCACACACCTGGCAGCAAGGGCAGAGAGACACCGTGGTTGGGAAAGGCAGAGGGTGCAGCCCCCAGGGAACAAATCAGCAACATGAGGAGTCACCGAAAATGCCGAGTACTTTAGGCAGACACTGCAAAGTCAGGGGTCGGTGTGAGCCATACACACACACACACACACACACACACACACACACACACACACACACACACATTACCACCATAATGGCTCCTCCCCCCACCACCACCACGTTCTCCCTGACGGGGCAGGAGGAGGCCCCAGCGCACAACTATTTCAGAGACACCCGTGCCTGTGCTCAAGCCCCTGCTGCTTTAGAATGAGACACAGGGGACAATGACTGCATAATTCCCCCCCACGCCCCCCCCACACACACACGGAGCCCTTGAAATTGAGGAGAAGGGTCTGTCCTTGGGGAGACAATCAAGTGGCATTCAATGTGGCAAAGGGAATGTTCTATTGATAAAACTACCTTCCCCTCCCAGCAAGTGAAGGGGCCGAGCCGTCACCAGGGGTAGATCCAGGATTTATGGAGCTTGAAGCTTATAGAACTTGGGGGGCCTCTTTTTCAAAAAATACAAAAATGAAAGTACTAAATTAATGACCTTTTATCTATTGATTTCTTTTTAACCAGTAAGGCTTCACGTCTCAAATTTTCCAAATTGAGTCCTCCTATTTTAGTCACTTTGTTAATAATAATAATCTCTACACCTATTGAATTTCAAGTGCTACCAGCAGTGCTGATTTTCCTTTCTCTTTTATAAGATTGGGATTCACCAAACATATCATAATATGCAGAATACATGAAGAATAACCCCATATCAAAAAGCCCTACACATTTAAACACACAAAGTCATTTCACACATAAGGTATTCAAGGTTATACAAAACAGATGACATTGGCACCTTTCACAACCTCTGTGCCTCCGGGTACGACTGGCAATGATTGTGCTCTTGGCAAGATACTATAAACTATTTTTCTGGAAAACATTAAGCAGGTTTATTTTTCCCAAAAAGAGGTTCCCTGCCTTCCCATTGAATGGATGTGGCCAAAATTAATCACTTACCTTCAATTCATGTTGCTACGAGGCCAGGCGAGGTGGCTCATGCCTGTAATCCCAGCACTTGGGGAGGCCGAGGTGGGCGGACCACCTAGGTCAGGAGTTCAAGACCAGGCCGGCCAACATGGTGAAATGCTGTCTCTACTAAAAATACAAAAAAAAAAAAAAATAGCTGGGCATGATGGCGAGCACCTGTAGTCCCAGCTACTCAAGAGGCTGAGGCAGGAGAATCGCTTGAACCTGGGAGGTGAAGCCTGCAGTGAGTTGAGATCATGCCACTGCACTCCAGCCTGGGTGACAGAGCCAGACTCCATCTCAAAAACATATATATATATATATATATATATATATTGCTACCAGATGGGAAAGGCTCTCCATGTTCTTTAGCCTCATCTCTGCATCTATATGTTGGAGAATGTGAAAAAAATATTGGCTCATTGCATTTGAGAGAAATACTGCTTGATTTTCTATTTCATCCATTTTCAAATACCTCAAACTTAAATGCTATACAACTAACAACTGAAGAGCCTTTACTCAATACAAAAAAACAAATGTTTTGAGGGGAGACCAAGGCAGGCCGATCACTTGAGTCCAGGAGTGCCAGACCAGCCTGGGCAACATGTTGAAACCCCGTCTCTACAATAAAAAAGAAAGAGAGAGAGAGGGGGAGGGAGGGAGGGAGGGAGGGAGGAAGGAAGGCAAGAAGGAAGGAAGGAAGGAAAGAAGGAAGGAAGGAAGGAATTAGCTGGTCGTGGTGGCACACGCCTGTCATCTCAGCTACTCAGGAGGCTGAGGTGGGAGGATCACTTGAGCCCGGGTGTTGGAGGTCGCAGTGAGCCAAGATTGCATCACTGCAGTCCAGCCTGGGCAACAAGGACAAACCCCATCTCAAACACACACACAGACACACACAAGTTAATGTGTATGACTTTGTCAAATTCAAGGAATTTTAACCCTCTGGTTTCACCCATCCACAGCACTGACCATGTAGCCTACCACAGTGGCAGGAAACAAATCACAAAACTAATTGTATTCCAGCTGGAGAATGAGGAGTGTAATGAAGGGTATACATCTAAAATAACTGAAAGAAGGATATCGAGAGGCATTTGTACACTCATATCCACAACATCATTATTCACAATAGCCAAAACATAGAGGCAACCCAAATGTCCATTGACAGATGAATGGATAAACAGAATATGGTATATATACGCAATGGAATATTGTGCAGGCCTTAAAGGGAAGGAAATCCAGTCTCAACGTGCTACAACATGGATAAACCTTGAGGACATCATGCTAAGTGAAATAAGCCAGTCACAAAATTAAAAATACCACCTGATTTTATTTATATGAGGTATCTAGAGTAGTCAAATTCATAGAAATAGAAAGTAGAATGGTGGTTGCAAGGACCTGTGGGGAGGGGAAAATGGGGAGTTGTTGTTTAATGGGAGTGGAATTTCAGTTTTGCAAAATGAAAATGTCCTGGAGATTGGTTGCACCACAATATGAGTATATTTAACACTGCTGAACCATCCCCTCAAACATGGTCACGGTAATGTCTGAGTCTGTTTGCGCTGCTATAACAAAATACCTGAGACTGGGTAATTTATAAAGAACAAAAACTTATAAAATCATAAAGAACAGAAATTTTCTCCCCATTCTGAAGGCTGGAAAGTCCAAGATCAAGGGGCCAACAGATTCAGTGTCTGGTGAGGGCTGCCCTCTGCTTCCAAGATGGCGCCTTCTTTATGCGTCCCCACATGGAAGCGCAAAAAGAGGCCTAGCTAGTTCCCTCCAGCCCTTTTATAAGGTTGTTAATCCCATTCATGAGGGCTTTGCCCTCAGGACTTAATCACCTCCTAAAGTCCCCACTTCTTAATACTGTTGCATTGGGGATTAAGTTTCAACATGAATTTTGGGAGGTCACACAAGCATTCAAACCATAGCAGATGGTAAATGTTATGTTATGTGTATTTTACCACAATCCTTAAAAAGAAAAGAAAGAAAGGCATAAGGAACCCCTAGTTACCTCTCATCCAGCTTCAAAATTGTCAGTGCATGGTCAATCTTGTCTTATCTGCCCCTCACCCACCCTTTTCCAGAAAGAAGACCCAGAGGATTCCACATCTGCCTGGAAACCACGACCAGTCTCGACTGGAAGTTGTTGTTAATGTTGCATGTCTTCATAAAACCTCTAGTCATTTCTAGTGTCCCTCAGAATTTTTCCAAATTCAGGCAAACACAGAAATTACTTCCAAAAATTCAGCAGAGCCGTCACTTAGCCTTAATTCAGAGGATTCTGTTACAGATGGGCATCAGCATCTGAAATGCTGGCATGAGCTGGGCATTCCCCACCTGCACCCCCAATTTAGTATCCAAGCGGCTGAGAGATCAGGTGAAGATAACAGTCATTTTAAAGAGCTGGAATTCTCAAAAATTATTTATATCATTTTTCCTTTTAAAAGCATTTAGTTTAAAACAACAGCAAAGACCATCAAAGCATTCCCATTTGGAACTGTCATTCTGGAGAGTCAAACACTGCACATGTCAAGCTGTGAAAAGACATGGGGGATTTTTTTTTTTTTTTTTTTTTTGAGACGGAGTCTCGCTCTGTCGCCCAGGCTGGAGTGCAGTGGCGGGATCTCGGCTCACTGCAAGCTCCGCCTCCCGGGTTCACGCCATTCTCCTGCCTCAGCCTCCCAAGTAGCTGGGACTACAGGCGCCCGCCACCACGCCCGGCTAATTTTTTGTATTTTTAGTAGAGACGGGGTTTCACCGTTTTAGCCGGGATGGTCTCGATCTCCTGACCTCGTGATCCGCCCGCCTCGGCCTCCCAAAGTGCTGGGATTACAGGCGTGAGCCACCGCGCCCGGCCGACATGGGGGAATTTTAAATGCATATTATGAAGTGAAAGGAGCCAATCCAAACAGGCTACATACCATATGACTCCAACTCTGGAACATTCTGGAAAAGGCAAAACCATGGAGACAGTAAAAACTTCAGTGGTTCCCAGGGGTTTCGGTAGAAGGAGGGATAAATAGGTGGAGCACGGAGGAGTTTTAGGGCAGTGGAAAGACTGTACAGTGGATACGTGTCATTATACATTTGTCCAAACCCATAGAATATACAACGCCGAGGGTGAGCCCTAATGGAAACTACGAACTTAGGGTGATAATGATGTGTCAGTGCAGATTCATCGATTGTGTGAAGTGTACCACTCTGATAGTGGGGGAGGCTATGCTTGTGGGGATAGAGAGTATATGAGAAATTGCTGTACTTTCTGCTCAATTTTGCTCTGAACCTAAAACTGCTCTAAAAATAAAGTCTATTTTTTAACAAAAGTTGCTTCATACCAACTATCCAATGGACAGCAAAGAGGTGTTTGATGCAATTCTATTTGTTCAGTATTATTTGGAAAACTTTTCATATTTTCCAGTGAATATAGAAAAGTACGTTCTCCCTTGACTGGGGCAGTGAAGAAGAAAAGAAAAAAGAAGAATAAAAGAAAAGTGGATTCATCCTCCCATCAATTCAACCACAAACAATTATTTGGATCAGTTGTCTCATTAGTTTGCCTTTCCCAATCTTTCTTTTGTGAAAAGAGACAAGGTCTCACTCTGTCTCCCAAGCTGGAGTGCAGGGATGTGATCATAGCTCACCGCAGCCTCAAACTTCTGGGCTCAAGCGATCCTCTCATCTCAGCCTCCCAAGTAGCTGGGACTACAAGCACCACCGCACCCAGCTAAGGCCTTTCTCAGTCTTGAAGGGACTATTTTGAAATCACCCCCTATATAAATTAAGCAAGCAGTCCTGTTAGCCCCTCCCCCTTCTCAGCCATCATGGTCTCTTGAGCCAAAGGAAATAGCCCGAAACAAAAACTTCAATTCAACCAAAAACATTTCCTCTCCTCGTCCCAACACATTTGCTTCTTTAGGAGTCTTAGGAGAGAAATTTTCAAAAGGAACAAAAAGATCATATACAAACATATATTAACTTGTCACGGGAAAATTCTAGCACATGATGATAGTACAGCAAAGTGTAATGAACTTTCCCTATCACCCCCCGCTTCGAAATTATCAACACAGAGTCAGTGCTGTTTCACCTCTACCCCCACCCTCACCCACACCCCAGATGATTCTGAAGCAAATCCCAGACAGCGTTTCATTCAGTACGTATCTCTGAAGGATAAGGGTCCTCGTATTTCATAAGCACAACATAATCATAACTAAGAAAAATTAATAATCCTGGCCAGGCACAGTGGCTCACACCTGTAATCCCCGCCCTTTGGGAGGCCGAGGCAGGCAGATCACCTGACCTCAGGAGTTCAAGAACAGCCTGGCCAACATGGTGCAACCCCGTCTCTACTAAAAATACAAAAATTAGCCGGGCATGTTGGTGGGCACTTGTAATACCAGCTACTCCGGAGGCTGAGGCGGGAGAATCGCTTGAACCCAGGAGGCGGAGCTTGTAGTGAGCAGAGATCACGCCATTGCACTCCAGCCTGGGTGACAGAGTGAGTCTCTGTCTCAAAAAAAATAAATAAATAAAATAAAAATTAACAATCCTGTAATATCAAACATCCCATTGGCGTTCAAATTTCCCCAGTAAACATCTACATTTGAAACACGTACTTACAGATGAAAGCAGCCGCGGCTTTTCAGCTGGCGTCGTCGGCTTCCCACTGCCTCTCCACGCGGCCTCTCTCCTCCTGCAGTCGACTGGGAGTTGGTGTCTCACCCGATCGATGCACGGCCTGTTCGATATTGTAGGTCTTAGTGAGCAAGCTTCCACTGCTGGCTTTTGGGCTAATTCTCGCTGGAAAGTTACCCTACGTTTTCTTCTTATGTCCTCTTTAAACCGGAAAAGAAACACATTTCTTTCTTTCTTTCTTTCTTTTTTTTTAGACGGAGACTTGCTGCGTTGTGCAGGCTGGAGTGCAGTGGCGCGATTTCGGTTTACTAAAACCTCCTCCTCCTGGGTTCAAGCAATTCTCCTGCTTCAGCCTCCTGAGTAGCTGGAATTACAGGCGCCCGCCACCAAGCCCGGCTCATTTTTTGTATTTTTAGTAGAGACGGGGGTTTCTCCATTTTGGTCAGGTTGGTCTCGAACTCCCGACCTCAGGTAATGCACCCGCCTCGGCCTCCCAAAGTTCTGGGATTACTGGCGAGAGCCACCGCTCCCGGCCCAAGAAACACATTTCTAACTGCATTCCTTCCAGCTTCTTATCTCCTCTATCTCAGCTGTCAACCTTCCTTTCATCTCTAACAGGACCATTTATTTTTATGACTCTGCTTTTCGGACTCACTTCTTTAGGGCAGTCCGAAAAGTTCATGGTTCTAGACATTAATTCATTCGACAAATACTAACTGGACGCCTACATGGTCCCTGACTTGTATTCTAACATCAATGCGGCCCCTAAGGGCACTGGAGAAAACAGCCCTGGCTGCGGATCCATCCATTCACTCAACGTCAGATCTCAAAATGTGCACTAGAGGGCGCCGCTCTCCTCCCGGCACCGGTGAAAGTGGTGCAGCCGCGCACCACCGAGAATACTAAGCCGTTAGGTCCTCTCTACCTACCCGCGCGGTCTAACAAATGAAGAATCTCACACAACCCGCACTTTTAAAATGAAATAAATTCCATTTATTGGAAGCACAAACAAAGAGAAAGAGACAAACATGGCATAACTGCCCCAAACAGGTCCATTTTCCATTAGAGATGACAGGCAAAGGGCCTAGTTTACGAGTTTGGTAAAATTATGAAAAGGTTAAAGGTTGTTTTCAACCCCAAATACCAAAAGAAAACTGCAAAATCAAAATCAATAAATCTGAAACTCGTGTCTACAAAGTGCAACCTATCAACTTTGCTGTTAAATGTAGTCCCAAATATTACAGTACATTTGAAAAATTAATCGGTTTGATTTGCTCACATTATAAAATTTCCCGAGAAGACCCCATAATGGCCAAGGAAACAGAGCCAGTTAATAGAGCAAACATTTCCTTGGCACCTGAAAGTTGCCCAGTTTTGTTCTGGGCAGTGGAGAGACAGGGTCCCACTGTCCTGGACAACTCACGTTTGAAGCGGGAGATCCTGAATAAGCAAACATGTAAATAAGCAAGGCAATGTCCATCATCAATGTTCAGGGGGAAATAAAACTGGGCAACTTGCAGTAGAGGGCTGGTTAGTTAGAGATGGGTCTGAGCAAGGCCCCAGAAGATGACAGCTGTGTTGATACCTAAGTGACAAGAGGGAGCCCTGGGAAGCTCTGAGAACAGAATATTCCATGCAGAGGTAACAAGGCAAAGGCATTACCCATGACGGTGTGTGAGTTTCTAAAGGAAAAAGAAGAGCAGGAAAGATACAGTATGACAAGGAAAGGGAGAAATGGACGGGAGCAGACAACAGAGGTAATCATGGAAAGGAGGGTGGTTTGGTTTTTGTTTTGTTTTCTTTGTTTTGGATTCTGTCTTTTAATTAAATTGAATCAAATTATAGAGAGCAAATGCTTTTTTTTCATCTGTTGAGATAATCATGTTTTCTCCTCCACTAATCTGCTGAAGTGGTACATTTCTTTAATAGATTGTCTGATGTTGAATCAACCTTTTATTTGTGGGATAACACCTTCCTGGTCATGTTATACTTTTTCTTTTTTTTTTTTTTTTTGAGACAGGGTGTCGCTCTGTTGCCCAGGCTGGAGTACAGTGGCGCGATCTTGGCTCACTGCAACCTCCGCCTCCCAGGTTCAAGCGATTCTCCTGCCTCAGCCTCCCAAGTAGCTAGGACTACAAGCACGCACCACCATGCCCAGCTAATTTTTGTATTTTTAGTAGAGACAGGGTTTCGCCACGATAGCCAGGCTGGTCTCCAACTCCTGACCTCAAGGGATCCGCCCTCTTCAGCCTCCCAATGTGCTGGGATTACAGGCGTGAGCCACCATGCCCAGCCATGCTATACTTTTAAATACATTTCTGGGTTTAATCTGCTAATATTTTATTTTGGATTCGTACAATTCTGTTCCTAAGTGAGACTGGCTGAAAATTTCTCTACATGGTGCTGTTCTGCTCTGGTTTCGTCTTCAACTTTTACTAATCTACCTCATTAAATGAGTTTGGATGTGTTTTTCCCCCTACTCGCTGGAACTGTTTGTATGTGAGAGCTTATCTTTTCATTAAAGGTGGACAAACCTCCTCAGTAAAACTATCTGGGCCTCCTATCTTAATTAACTTAAGGGAATGAAGGTTATATTTTTGACCACTGATTCAGGTACTCTAATGCTTATAGGTATATTCAGATTGGTTTAAGTTTCTTTTAGTAATTTATATTTTTCTAGAAAATAATCCATTTCATATAAATGTAAAATAGTCATAAATTGTTCACAGTATTTTATCATGATTTTTCAAAATCTCTATTGTATCCATGGTAATCATCTTCTTTTCATTCCTAGCATTGTTTATGACTGACTTCTCTCTTTTTTTTACTTTTTGCAGAGGTTTGTCTGTTTTATTTGTCTTTTCAAAGAACGGGTTTTGGTTTTACTGAGTCTCTTTAATATTATTTTTGTTTTGTAGTCCATTAATTTTTATCCTTATTTTTTTCCTTCTTTGGCTATATATTCCATTATTTTTCTAACTTCTTAAGTTGAATTTTTTTTTAAAGAGACAGCATCTCACTCTGTCATCCAGGCCAGAGTGAGGTGGTGCAAACATAGCCTCGAACTCCTGGGCTCAAGGGATCTTCCAAGTAGCTAGGACTACAGGTGCATGCCACCATGCCCAGCTAATTTTAAAAAAAATTTTTTTAGAGATGGGATCTCGCTACGTTGCTCAGGCTGGTCTCAAACTCCTGGATTCAAGCAATCCTCCTGCCTTGGCCTCCCGAAGTGCTGGGATTACAGGTGTGAACCATCCCACCATGCCTGGCCTTAAATTGAACTCTTGACTTTTTGATTTTCAAAACGTCTTCTTTTCTGATGAATACATTTAAAGCTAAACATTTCCTCTAGTTGATTTCAGTTGTATCCACAAGTTTTGAAGTGTAGCATTTCACAGTAGTCATTAATTCATAAATATTTCATTATTTCCATCACAATTTTTTCTTTGATTTGAATTATTAATAAATGTGTTTTTGAAATCCCTGAATGTGCCAGCCTGGGCAACAAAGTGAGAACCTGTCTCTACAGGAAAAAAAAAAAAGTTTTAATTAGCCGGGCATAGTGGCACATGCCTGTAGTCTTAGCTACTTGGGAGGCTGAGGTAGGAGGATCCCTTGAGCCCAGGAGTTTGGGGCTGCAGTGAGCCATGATGACACCACTATACCACTCCAGCCTGGGCGGCAGAGTGAGACCCTATCTCAAAAAAAAAAAAAAAAAAAGAAAAGAAAAAGAAAGAAAAAAACCCTGAATGTATACAAGTTTTCATTTGCTGTCTTTTGTGAATGACTTCTATTGCATTGCGTTCACAGAATGTGACCTACCAGTGATGTGTAGTATCTGTTGCGACTTGCCTTATTGCCTAAAATAGCACCGCCATATTAACTGGCCCTGTTTCTTGATTTTCTCTTATTGTAAAATGTCCTGAATATGCTCCGACAATGGCCAAGAAAACAGTCCCATTTTATAATACTCTCCAGGCATGAGGGAGAACTCACTATAAATACCTACCCACCAGGGGGAGGCAGTATGGAACCCCAGGAGCTCCAGAAGTGATATTTTGGTTGTCCAAGGGTCCAGCTCTATGTCCAGAACAAGAATCCCATCAAGACAACCTTCATGCAACCAGGCCAGCCATCTCTTCATCGGGAGCTCCCCATGTCAGACACTGGGAGCCTCGGGCCTGCAAGATCACATCCACGCCCTCAAGTTACACCTGTGAAAGTGAACCAGAAAATGTTGCACAAATATGATTTGTCATTGATTGGAGATCAAGCCAAAAACACATGAGAAACTAATCTCAAGAAAATGAGAGAAAAGGGAACACAGGGCATGCGTGATAATTTACCAAATGACAAGTTTGCACGGCAAAGTATGGGCTCTGAGCAGGGAGAAACCACAGAGTAGTAGCCAGGCAAGCCGGAGAGCACCCCAGGCCTGTCCATAGACACCCCCTCTGAGACTAACGCTCACCATGCCCTTGTGAATAAGTCCCTGGGATTGATGCTTGGGACCTCTGTCACTCGGGCCATAGCTATGGGACCAGGGGATGTGCCCCAGCCTAGGGAAGCCACCTCGAGGCTCACAGATGACACAAGCAGAGCCAGGAGAAAGGATTCTGCCTAAGAGATTCCCTAAACAAGACTGTGAGCAACCACAGTACAACCTCCCTCGGGGTCCGCATGCGGCATAAGGAGAGGCACCTGCAGAAAGCAGAGTGCTGAGGAAGCTAGAGGAAGAAGAAGGCAATTCCTATGGAGAGGTTCACGGCTGCTAGGTGCGGTGGCCCACGCCTGTAATCCCAGCACTGTGGGAGGCTGAGGCGGTGGATCACTTGAGGTCAGGAGTTCGAGACCAGCCTGGCCAACATGGTGAAACCCCACCTCTACTAAGAATACAAAAATTAGCCAGGCGTGGTGGCAGGCACCTGTAATCCCAGCTACTCAGGAGGCTGAGGCAGGAGAATCACTTGAACCCAGGAGGCAGAGGTTGCAGTGAGCCGAGATCACACCACTGCACTCCAGCCTGGGTGACAGAGTGAGACTCTGTCTTAAAAAAGAAAAAAAATGGTTCATGGCTGAGACCCCCGTAACAAAAGCCAGGTCAACAAGGGAACAGCATACAAATGTATTTAATATAAATTTCATGTGACACAGGAACTTCAGAAATAAAGACCCAGCCGGGCGTGGTGGCTCACGCCTGTAATCCCAGCACTTTGGGAGGCCGAGGTGGGCAGATCATCTGAGGTCAGGAGTTCAAGACCAGCCTGGCCAACATGGTGAAACCCCGTCTCTATTAAAAACACAAAAAAGTAGCCAGGCGTGGTGGCGCACGCCTGTAATCCCAGCTACTCAGGAGGCTGAGGCAGGAGAATCGCTTGAACCCAGGAGGCGGAGGTTGCAGTGAGTTGAGATCGAGCCATTGCACTCCAACCTGGGCAACAACAGTGAAACTCCGTCTCAAAAAAAAAAAAAAGAAAAAAAGAAATAAAGACCCAAAGAAACAGGAGAAACTGTCTTCATGCACAGTCGTGCAGATGTGTGATTGGAGGACAAGAGGGTGTGACTTATGCTAATAAACTGGGGGACTTAGCAAAGCCTGTTTGTTCAGATTCTTCCTGGGGTCTCTGTAGGGCACTCCTTTTCTCCAGGGATAGGGAGGATGCTTCTGGAATGAGGGTCTTATGACCTGCTTTAGAGGAAGATCCGAGAATTCTTCTATGGCCTGCTTCGGGGGAGACAGGCGAGGGGAAGGGCAACGTGGCCTTCCTGCTTCTGCCATTTTCTTGATGCCAAGATGCTATATTTTGGGGTGGCATGTCCTGAACCCTGTTAAAGCCAAGAGCAGTGGCAGAAAGGAGAAGAACAGGCATTGGCCATGCACAGCAGACCCCATGAGTGAGCACCAGGCCAGAGGTGGGAAAAGCAGCAGCCAGTGCATCGCCTTGGCAGCCTGAAATACGGTTCTCACGATGTCATAAAGACGGAATCCTCCGCAGTCCCTGGGACTATATGTAGTCCATTTTCCCTCTGGAAGCCCCATACGCTTCCTCCTGCTCCGTAATTTCTGAGAGCACTCATGTGCAGCGGAAGCTGTCACCTCTGTCCATCAGCCAGTCCCTCCCCCACCTCTCAGAACGCCTGTGCACCATCATGTCACCCTCTCCAGAAGACTCTCTTGCCCCACACATGGACACAGTTTTCACTACTCCTATAAACTCAGATTCTCTTGAACCCACATGCTTTAAACCCCATCTCAGGGGACCCTGTCATCCCCCAGCAGGTTTCCATGTGCCAGGGGAAGGACCAGCTCAGCCCCTCCCCACTGAGAGATTTTCAGGTCCTTCCCACACCCCAGAGGCCCCTGTCCCTGATGCTCTGCCTTACAACAGCCTTTTGACAGTGATTGTTATGAAACGGGAGAGCAAACACACCAGCCTGAAGTGTCTGTGTTTGAGATGCTTTCCAAGTCCAAGGCCAGTGCAAGAGTAGCAGTGTGTATTTGTTTAGTGTTGGTTTAACTGCAAGGGCCTGATGACCTTCCAGAAACAAAGAAGTTCTGCTCCAAGGTGACTTTCTGTGTCTGCTGCTAGAAACTGCTAGCAACTGCAGTTCTCCTGCTTAAAGAAAAAAAATCCAGTTTCAGTTCACCAAGCGTCTGTACAGAGCAGAGATGGTGGTAGCCTAGCGCAGAGCAAAACCCGAGTCACAGGAATGGTGGCAAGCCTAGAGGAGCAGGAGCAGCGTCCCAGGGACCTCTCCAGCCTGCCCCGTGAGGCCTGGCCACTCAGCCGAGCTGGGGGGTCACCACCCAAAAGAGGCCTGCACAAGCAGTCGGGGAAGCACCCAAGAAGAACCTGAGGTCGGCCAGTCCACCCCATTCATTTCATGTATCAGAAACTGAGCCTCGAGATGGTAAGGACCTTGGCCAAAGACATGTGGTCAGACTAGACCCCAACCCTTGACCTGTGAATTTGACTCTTGTCCCTTGTTTCCAGTGGAGAGGGGCTTCAGCACAGCTGGTGAGGGTCACCAGCATTTAGGTCCTCTGGCCTGGCCTCTCACCAAGGAGATGGTCACCTCCAGTCCATTCATCCAGCAGCAGCTCACTGAAGGCCCAGAGGTAACCAGTGTCACACAGAAAGGCCAAAGAAAGGGGCAGGTCATGATCTACTGTGTGCAAGATGCTTCAGCTTGTGTTCTTCAAAGACCTTGCCTTAGGGTGGGGATCCTAGAAGCAGAGCCTGAGACAAGGATTCTTGTTCAGGCAGGGAAGGTGAGAATTGTCAGGGAAGGGTTCTAGAGAGGGAGAGTGGCCGGAAGCAGCACAGGGCAGAGAAAGAAGCCAGCAATGTTCCCCCAGGAGAGCAGCTTCAGTCTGATACCTTTGTGTGGGCAGTCATTTGCCAGGGGGCAGCCCCCAGGCTGGGCAGCTGTAGGCCATCAGCGGCCCACACTCACAACCGCTGGAAGGTGGCTGGGCTGGGGCTCTGAGAGCATCACAGCAGGTGTCTCCACCATGGGCATGATGAGAAAGGTCAGGCTCAGATGTTAAGGAGGTTTGGGCACTGTGGCTCACGCCTGTAATCCCAGCACTTTGGGAGGCAGAAGTAGGTGAATCACCTGAGGTCAGGAGTTCGAGACCAGCCTGACTAACATGGAAAAACTCCATCTCTACTGAAAGTACAAAAATTAGCCAGGTGTGGTAGCATGTACCTGTAATCCCAGCTACTCGGGAGGCTGAGGTAGGATAATCACTTGAACCCGGAAGGCAGAGGTTGCAGTGAGCTGACATAGTGCCACTGCACTCCAGCCTGGGTGACAAAGTGAGACTCCATCTCAAAAAAAAAAAAAAAAAAAAAAGCTAAGGAGGCCTTAAGGAGGGTGGAGATGGGAACCAGGGGAGGGTCCCAGACAGCGGGTGGAGGAGCCATGCTGTGTGAGCCACCTGCTTCTGTGCCCAGGACTGGCCCTTCCCTTAGTGTTTCCCTCCTGTACTGCGTCTGTACTCCAGGAAATTCCTATACAGCCAGGCTGGGCAGGCCAGGTCAGGATGAGCCCCGCTGATGTGTGCGCCAGTCCTGGAGGGTGGGGGTGGCGGTGGCTAGTATCTGGGCCCTGGGGAAGGCAGCAGCCTCTTGTCTCTACCAGCTCGCCTAAAAGGAAACTCCGTCATTGTCCTCCCTGCAAGCAGCAAGGCCAATGGAATGTCTGAGTCAAAGGCCCTCCTTGGAGGGCAATGGCAAAGTGGCGCTGGGTCTGACAGCAGATGCTGTCCGCCTGGGATCTTGAGCACATGCAGTTTCTGACTGGAGTCTGGGGTGGGAATTGCCATTGTGCGTTAACAACTCCCAGGTGACACCAACGCTGCTGGCCCGGCTTCTCCCTGCTCCACCTCCACCCAGTCCCCATAGCAAGAGTGTGGGTCTGCTGCCTGGAGTCCATCCACCCATCTTCTCATCTCTGGCTTTCCTCTGCTGAACAAAACCTTCCCACTCCCAGCACATGGACTCTAGGTGCAGCTGAGCCCCCTTGGCCATAGGTGCGCGTGTGACAAGGCCTTGCAGAACCCTGCACTCCCCTGGCCACTGAGACGGGTCTAGTAACGGGCACTGACCCGATTCGGGCCAACAAGAGTAGGACCCTCCGCTGTCTCAGATCCATTAGAGAAGGACTGGAAGCTGCCAGGCAGAAGGCTGAGCTGCCGGCTTCTTCCTGGCTGGGTCCGTGTGACCATCGAGTCACTGTACTTTTCACTTACACGAGCTCATCATTTCCTTTTTTGAAATCTGAGTTGAACACAGAACCCTGCCTGATTCACTCCCAACATCACCCACCCACGTTTCAAAGGTGCAGTCCCTAAGTTCCTTACTCACAGGACCCTCCTGGCTGACAGAGGCCATAGAAGAAGTCAGAGTCAGACGACGCAGCACAGGGTCACGGTGCCAAAGCGAGCCCACCGCACTCCAGCCAGGCATTCCATTGACGGGAAGGAAGTTACTTACCCAGGTCTCACGGCCACCCGGCGGCGGGCAGGACAGAAGGTCAGCTGTCCAGAGCGCTCTGCGAGAGGTGGTCTTCAGCCAGGTCCTACTCGGTGGGGAGGCCCAAAGAGCAATGGTAGAGTCTCTGTGCCACGCTGTGCACTCGCGTCCTTTCCATATCTACTTGTTTGCTTCTCACAACGCCATAAGGAAGAGGAGCAGGGAAGGGGACTAACCTCAGGAGAGGCATGTGCCTGGCCGAGACCTCCCATTGGAGACAGACCAGCACAGGGGCCTGGTCTCCCGACTCAAGCACTCTTAGCCGTCCACTGCTCAAGCACTGAGGGAACCGTCCGACGCTTCTCGGCAAGTCTGGCCTCACCGTGGGCTGCGCAGGCAGCAAGGGCTGCAGCCCCTATATGTGTGAGTCAGGTGCAAAGGGCAGTCACTGTGCAGGTGCCAGAAGCCTACAATAGCTCGTCACTGAGGCTCTGATGTGTGTCTTCTAGGGTCTTTGGTCACCAGGCAACCTTGAAACATAATTCCTCAAGAGATGATGGAGGCAGAGACAGAGGCCACCACCCTGCTCCCCGCTAAGCCCCAAATGACCACTCCTTACACAAGCTGATGTTGAGAGAACATTTATTCCACTCAGTCAGCTCCCGCAGGAGTCAGCAACCTGTAGAAATATCCAGGCTGGACGACCACTTCCGTGCACTCCTGCAGAGCCGGGGTGGGGGTGGGGGTCCCTGATGCTCCCACTGCCCCAAGGAGGTAAGAGCCTGAGGCCTCCGACATCCACTTTTGACCCAGGGGAGCCAGCCCACAGCCCAAGAAAAGGCACCCTTGAGTTAACTCACATACCCTCTCCCCACGTGCACTGCCCATTACCGGCCACCGACAAGCTCCAGCGCTTGAGGCACCAGTCAGCCGACAAGTGTTTCCTGAGAGTTAGGAGCCCAGTCCTGTGCTAGACCCTGGTAGGACTCAAGAGGAAATGACAGTCCCTTGCCCTCAGGGAGCTAACTGTCTAGTTAGGGACTCAAGACACACACGGAAGAGACTGGAGCGTCCATGGGACAGCACGCAGTTCGGGGGCAGGGGCTCACACCGGACCTGTTCGGAGCAGGAAGGAGGAATGTGGGCTGGGTGGTTTGGGAAGCCGGGCCCCGTGGATCAGAAGGGCTTAGCTGGGTAGAGGAGAGGAAAGGGGACATGTCCGAGCAGTATAGGGGAAGGCACAGAGGCAGGAACAAGCACAGCACAGTGATGGGCAGAGGGGGACACAAACTGCACCATTAGCACAAAAGGGGCGTGTGTGGAGGTTTCCTCTAGGTCGGCCAAGGATCAGAGCCAGACTGGAAGCTCCTGGGGCTGGGAGCACCTTCTCGTTCTCGGATCTCCCCCTGAGCATTCTGCTATTCCAGGGTGAGGCATACAGTAGGAGGTAACAATGTATGATCCAACCTGCATCGAAGACAGCAAGACTCCAGTGCAGGGATCCACAGGCTGCCCTCCAACCACGCTGACCCAAACCCATCCCAGCCCTGGTCAGTTTTGCCTTTTCTGATGTTCATTCTGGGGAGGCAGGTGAGAACTTGTAGCTTCCAGGCTGACTGGTTCAGGTGTGAAGATGGGAGGAGTCCTTGCCCTGCTGCCTGCCTGGGCCCTGTTCCCTTCAACTGCACTGCTGCATACTCAGAGAACACACAGAAAGATCCTCCACCGACCTCTCACCCTGCCCAGAGCCACAGGCACCAGGAGCGAGGCCCTCATCCTCTTCCTCCCCAGCCCACTGGGCTGAACACTTGGCCAGCTGGGAGGAACCGCTGACTGGGCTTGGTTGGTGGAAGCAGGATTCTTTCTCCCTGGGGCAGACTCAGACCAGACTCAAGCTCCCACCAGCGTCCACAGCAGTCCAGCTTCCCCTGAGACCACACAGTGAAATCAGAGCCCAGGCCAGGAGCAAAGGGCTCCTTTGTGGAAGCCAGCGGCCAGTCAGGCAGAACAAGAAACAAAACCAGAAGAGAAAATCTAGCCCAAGGGACCTCTGCCAATGTCTGGGGAAGGGAAATGAGGCTCCAGAAACCTGACGCACCATTCGTTAGGTCTGGGAGAAGGGAATGACTAAAAAGGGCTCCTCGGAATTCTTTATTCCTGAACAAGGGAAGGAGGCTTGGCCAGGGGGAGGGAGGGGCACTACTTGTACAGTGGCCTTGACTCGGGGCTCAATGTGTGACAGGTAAGGAAAGGGCAGCAGGTGAAGTCCCCAGGGCTGAGGTTCTTAGCCTGGAGTCCAGGGATGGGTTTCATTCAGGGAGTCCAGTGGCTCCTGAAATTGCTTGGGGTTTTTGAGTCTACGTCAGTTATCTGTTTTCCTAGGGAAGGTCCGTAACCTTCATCAGATTTTCCAAGGGCTTCGTGTCTCCAAAGAGCTAAGAAGCACTGCTCAGAAAGGAAAATGAAGCCTGCAGGTTTCATTCACATCTGGAAGAAGGTTTTGCCTCTAGAACCAGGTCTGCCACCAACTTGCTGTGTTAGCTTAGACCAATCACTTCCTGTCTCTGAACTCTAGCCAAGTGGTGGACCAGGCGGGAGCAGAGAAGCCAGCTCTCCACACAGGCATCGTCCTACCACCAGTGGCAGAGAGTGGGGGCCTGTGGCCAGGCAGCCAGGATGAGGTCTGCCCCAGCTGTGATTCCCACCAGGCCTGGAGAGTTTGTCCACCAGAGCTTGGAATCTGCTTCCAATTCCAGGCTCCAACCAGTCACCTCCACTGGTCACCGCAGTGCACCTCTTGAGGCAGGTCTTCTTACTGGATGTGTCCTCATGCCCGGGTGCAGTGCCAGCCAGGCCTCCATGGAACTCCATTCCTGGTCTCCGTGTCCAGATGGGTTCTGCACCTATCGGGTCTTAAGATCCTGCCCACTCTGCAACTGTCGACAGAAACAAAGAGATCAGGATCAGGTGTGGAGCCGTGACATGGCCCTGCCCAGCCACCCCTCTGGGGCTAGGAGGGAGCGATCAGCTGGCCTACCCTGAATCTGTCCTAGGGTTTGAATGAATCCTCTTTGTCCCCTACCAAGCACTGCAAGGATTACGAATCCCATTTACAGATGAGACACCTTGGGTTCAGGGCATTTTGGTGACTGACTCCAGGTGTCCGAAGCCCCTGTTTAATTTCATCTTTGCCACCAATGCTAGTCTACAGCACCTGGGAGTGGTAGGCAGAGGACAGTCTCCGAGGAGCCATAGCCACATAGCACTGAGGATGGGCAGAGGGGGCAGTGGGGAGGGACGAGTCTCCAGCACCCAGCACAGGACTGAATGTGCAGGTCCCCTCGAAGCCCCAGCTCCCTTCCTCCCAAACCACTCCCAGGGATGCCATGTCCCCTTCAAACACCCGTACCACCCCTAACACCCCTGCCCCAGCTCCTATCACATGGCCCCAAATCCTCCCTGCTCCATCGTCCACTTTTTAAGCAGTGAAGCTAAAAGGTTCTGGGATTCAGAATCCAAAACAAAGCCCTGGCTTCCACCTGTTGTACCCCTAAGTACCAACTGTGGTGTAGGCAAGCTTGGCAAACCTGTTTCCTCATCTGCCAAAAGGCTGAAGAGGCCCGTGCCTCAGAGCGCCAGCTTGGAACCAGAGGTCCTGGAGCAGAGTCCTGGCTGCCCCCTTTCTCACTGCCAGACCTTGGCCAGGCCTCTTAGCTGGGGGCCTTATGTTCTCTTGCCCAGATGACCCAAGCCCCTCGAGGCTCCAGCTCTTCCCACATCAGTCTGTCCTCACAGTGCCTCTGATTCTCCTCCTAAAGCATAAGTCTGAGATCATAGCACTCATCTCATTAAAAATCTCAGTGTCCCCACCCCCTGACCACGAAGTCCTTTGTAGGGCAAACCTCCCCTTGGGACACCTGGAGACAGTCACTGAACTATCAGGACCCCCCCTCCCTTGAAAACACCCTTCTACACACTTGCTCTTCCTAGAACAATTTTATTTGTCCCCATGACCTGGTTCAAAGCCATCAAACTCCCCTGGGTGACGAAGAGAAACCAGTCACCCTCCTCGGTCTCACCCCAGAGCACTTTGTAGGTTGGCCCCGCGTCACACACCGAGTGTGAGCACCCCGTGTCAGGGCCTGCGGTCCTCATGTGTGTCTCTGGGAGAGCCCAGCCCGGCACAGTCAGTGGCACATGGTGTGGCAGAATCAACTAAGGCTCTGTGCACCAGTGACCTCACCCTCTCTCATCCAGTAGCTGCAATATATCCCAGCGAGGAAGAGTCCCTCATCTATATCCCCAACTTACAGATGAGTAAACTGAAACATGAAGTGAAATGACATCTCAAGGACAGCAGAGAGTGTGTACAGGAGCCAGGAGGCCTAGGGGCTGAGGTTGGGCGTGGGGTTTGTGGAAAGTGGCCTCTCCAAGTCTCTTTCAACTCTGACATTCTGGGGATGAAGATCCGGTAAGCAGCTCATCACAGAGAAACCTACAGCCCGGTACCCAGACCGCCCCACCTGCCATCAAGAATCAACACCACGCACTCCACCCCCACCACTCCCAGCCCTGAGAGGGGCTCTGGCCAGCCCCGCAGGTCTCACCTGCTCTAGGCCGGATGGGCCAGAGAAGGAGAACCATGGCAGGAGCCGGAAGCAGCTGTGCGCAGCCAGCCAGAGGGTCCCGAGGGAGGAACGCGAGCGGGCGGCCGGAGCCTGGCGGCGGCCCACACCTTCAAGAGCCCAAGCCAGCGCTGCCCCTCTCCCGGGATCCCATCTAGAGAGGGAGCTGCGGCCCAGGGCCATCTCCAGGGGTCGGGGACGCACGTGCGGGGCGGGAAGCAGCCGTCGGCAGCAGGCCCCGGGCGCATCATAGCACGCGTCCTAAGTGGGCCGCCTGGCCCTCGGGCCCGTGGCCGTGGCTGCGCTGATGGGTCTTGAGCGAGCCCTCGCGCGCGAAGCTCTTGCCGCAGCGGGGGCAGAAGTAGGGCCGCCGCTCCCCGAAGACGCCGGGGCGGCGCGGGTGCGGCGCGGGCATGCGCGCGTGGGTGCGCTGGTGGTTGAGCAGGAAGCGCGGCTCGCGGAAGCAGCGGCCGCACTGCGCGCACTGGTGCGGCTTCTCGCCGCTGTGGATGCGCTGGTGCGTGAGCAGGTTCTGCTTGAGGCTGAAGCAGCGGCCGCACTCGGGGCAGGGGAAGGGCCGCTCCCCGGTGTGCGTGCGCTGGTGCACCTCGAGGTTGTGCTTGACGCTGAAGGCCTTGCCGCACTCGGGACACACGAAGGCAGCCGCGCGGCCCGCTCCGGCGTGCGCCTTCTGGTGCCGCACCAGGCTGGGCTGCTGCGAGAAGGTCTGGCCGCACAGCGGGCAGCGGTAGGGCTGCTCCTCTGCAGGGTGGTGGATGACCAGGCCTCGCTCGTCCCCCAGACCCTCCTCCCCGTCCCCCGCAGGGGACCCGCCCCCGGAGGACGCCAGCTCGGTCATGGGCACTTCCAGCTGCAATCACCAGTCCCTAGGGAGACAGAAGCGGGGGCGGGGGTGGGGGGTGGAGAGAGAGGGGTCGGGGAACACGAGGGTTAGCCAACCCCCAGCCTGGCAGGGACACTCACCTCCCACAACCTCCACCTTTCGCCCCGTTTTGTTCAAGCTCAAGTTCCCCTGCTGGGAATTGGTGTTCCTCTTCCTCCACTGCCTTTTAAGCACGGCCTACACTCCTTCCAGTCCCTTCCCAAGGGCACCTTCTCCTAGAAGCCTTCCCTGACCTTTCCACCCCGGGCTTAAACACCGTGTGACACAACCATGTGGCTCTCACTGATCATACTGCACGAGGGTCAGTCATGCCACCTCTGTCCCCCGACTCCCAGCACCCTAAGGACAGAGCTGCCTTCTTTCAACCCCAGCACCTAGCACCATGCCAGCCAGCCACACAAGACACTAGACAGATGGTGATGAGTTTCAGTTAGGATTTTCAGTTTCAGTTTCAGCTAGGATTTTCAGTTACCTTCGTCTAGATATGTCTTATCCCTCCAACCAGATCTCAAGGACAGGGGGAGGTAGGGAAGTGCACCCCAAACTTGGAGAAAAGGGTGGCATTATCAGTGATTTAAAGATATTTTTGTGAAGCTTAAAACAGGAAAAAAAACACAACCCTGTAAACTTGAAAGTGACCTCGGTTAAACATTAAAGGCGGCAGCTCTTTGTTTATCAAAATGAGGCATGTGTTCAAAAGGTTTCCAAGTCACTGAACCAGGGTGTGGGCTCCCAGGGGGACTGGTCTCAGCGTGATTCCTCTTGGTATCCTCACAGCAAAGCCTGGCCCAAGGCTGAGCAGCACCCTCAGTGCCCAGCCAACACCCCCAAACCCAGCTCCCTTCATGCTGCTTCTCCAAAGGATCCTCTTCCCAGGACACTGTGTTCCTCTTAAATTGTTTCCCATTGTCCTCACAACAGCCCTGAGAAAGGGGCGGAGCAGGGTTATTGAGCCCCACTTTAAAGATGGGGAAACTGAGGCTCAGTGAGGTCAACATACTTGCCAAGGTCACAGAGCAAGGTGAGCCTGGACTAGGCCTTAAGTCTCCTGTCTCACTGTTGAAAGCTCTTTTCAATGTACTAGCTGCTCAACAACTAAACACTCCTCAAAACACACACACACCCCCCACTGCCACCATCCCAGCCGTCACAGAGCCATGCATTCCAAAGGGCCACTTCTCCTGTAGATGCACTGTCTACTGCCACCACTCCCACGACCCCCACCAAAACTTGGGCTCCTGCAGGGCCCTAAGGCCTGCCTCATCCATTCTCCCCAACCCCATCAGGGAAGCCGGCTGAATATTCCACTGGACCTCCCCGAAGGCCTCTCTTCACTTCCAGCCTCAGTCAACCTATCTGCAGAGTGGGGTCTCAGGGCCACCTCCTCTGTCTTCCGTACCCTCGAGGCCGGGGTGGAACTGACCCTGGGGAAGGAGACAAGTCCTACTTGCAAGAGACCCCACCCACAAGTCTTTTCCACAGGCAGCTGCACTGACATCTGCAAAGACAGATCATCAAAGTCCCCTTGGCCAATCTCAGCCCGGCCCTGTGACTGGGCAGCCTCCTCACTCTCCCCAGCTATACCCCTGACTGAGGCCCCGCCTGCACGCCGAAAGGCCCCCCGTCTCTCCCCCAAGTTCTTTCCTCCCATGCCACACTCACAGCCCAGCTGAGCCCCTGCTCCTCCGGTCTCCGGCCGCAGCTCTTTGCTCTACAGTCTGCGCTGCTCAACGCAAATACGGTAACTCTCCCGCAGCGACACCCGCGCCCCTTCTCCCCGCCCCCATAAAGACGGCAAGCGTCCCGCGACGTTGCTCTTATCAAATAGCTGCATTAATCGGGAGAGCTGACCCCACCCCACCCGACCTTACACACAACCTTGCCAACTTCTGCGGCCGGAGCAACCCTGGAGAAATATGGTAAACTCTGCGTCGCAACCCCACCCCCACGAAAATACGTAGGCCTCCACCCTGCTGCCGCAACCCACCCCGCCCGACTGCAAGCCCCAGCTCCCAGAGGGAATGAATGCAGCCCACCCCCCACGGCCGCAGCGCCCCCCCGCGGAGCCACGCAACCCTGGATAAATACGTAATTAAGTCCCGGCGCTCCCACTCCCGGAAAGGACCTGCGCGGGACCCGGCAAATACGGTAGCACGCCCGCAGTGACCCGCCCCCGAGGGTCCGGCTCTGGCCTCGGTAAATACGGTAACCTCCCGCCGCGGCCCCAGCGCGGCCCCGCGCGCACTCACATGGCGCCGCCTCCCGAGCCTTCCGTCTCCGCTGCAGCGCCGCAGTCGCCGGCGTCGTCGCAGCCGCACAGCAGCCCCGTGAGGCTGGGAGGTCTAACTCTCCGGCAGCCCGGCTGGCGGAAAACGGGGCTGCCAGCGCTGCGCCCGCCCGGGCCGGAGCGGCGACCATGCGGGGGCCGGTTCCGGGGCCTGAACGTCCCACGGAGCGGGCCCTCTCAAGCCCCCCGATCCGCCGACCCAGACATTCCCCCTTTCGGGATTCCCTGAGGCCTGCATTCGGCCGTTATAGCACCATCCCTATTTTCCTAATCCCAAGGCCAGGCCCACAAACCGCCCCCAGCGACAGGAAAGAGGGTCGGACGGAGGCGCCGGCCTTTCCCCGGGTGACATGGGCTGAGCGCCGGAGCCCGGCGGCGGAGCGGCCCTGGGCGAGGGTTTCAGGACTGGAGACAATAGTCAAAGGGGCCGAATCGAGGAGCTGCCCTCGCTGACAGTTTCGCCAAAGTCTGCCTGACTATATGGCCTGGGTTATATCACTAGAGTGACCAGAGGGAAAGGAAGAAGACATCAGGCCCCTGCTGACCCCACCTCCTCAGAACGGAACCCGCAGTCAAGCCAGAGATATCCCATAAAAGAGCAACTTACGACGTCTGGAGTAGCAGCGGGCGTGAGAGGGCAGAACCAAATTACAGCTTCCAGCTGCCATTTAATGATAATGTCCCTTACTCGGACATAACTTTGCCTTTTACAAAGCCCTTTTCCATGTTATGATCTCGTGGGAACCTTCCAATAACCATGTGCACCCTACCTTGTGTGGGTTTTATCCCATTTTATAGACGGGAAAATAAAATTGAAACACAGAGTGGCTTCCTCCAACACTCACAGCTCTAAGTAGCAGAGCACAGACGGGAACACGGCACCGTGACCCAGCACCGTGGCCCAGCTTGTGTTCCACTGCACCGCCCTGGGACTGAGACCCTCAGACATAAATAGTGTGTGACGACAGGGAAGTAAAAACCTGGGCCCCAGTGAGAACGTGCCTGAGGGTGTACATTTGACAGACAAAAAAACAGAGGCCTGAGAGGAAAAGTTATTTTAAAAGTCACAAGTAGTAGAAGAACATTAAATAGGCTTTTTTCTCTGTGGCCTCTCTGTAGCTGCCAGGTGGAGAAACGCGACTCTCTCTCCAAGGCCCAGGCAGGGATCCTTGCAGCAGACAATGGATGTGGTGGTTGGGGTGGCGCTGTGCCTGATGGAGGGCATTGAGAGATGCGGGCCTCCCGATACCATGAGGGTCCTCTCTGCAGCTCTGCAGGTGCCCACTGTGCCTTCTGGAGCCTGGGAACTGAAGAATTCCAGGTGGGAGACCCCAGGCTGTAAAATCAGCCCCTTCCTCCCAACACCAGGCCTGGAGGTCAGGCCTGCCTGCTTTCACAGCTCGCTTGGAGGACCAGTCTGCCCCACCAGGCCCCACCCGTCTGGCTTGTGGCCTCTGGAGAATCCACTCCTACCCCAACCCCCACCCCATCCCTTCACTGCTCCTGGAGACACCTCACTGCTGGATGTGGGACTTTAGGAGTTCCACGTCCCACGGAAATTGGCATTTTAAACAGAGACAACGGGAAGGGAATACTAGGAAGACAAAGAAACTAGTCCATAGGACAGATGTTGAGTTCTCATGCAGTGACACCAGCACCCCAGGTGCTGATGACCAACCCCACCCGTGCCTCCACTCGGAGCACATCAACACTGCCCAGCTTTCCAGCCCCTGCTGTCACCTGCCAGAGCCCCCAGTGTTCATCTCCTCTGCAGACCATAAGAGAAATGGGGACACTCGGTGAACACCATGTTTTTCAAAAGCAAAATCAATAATATGCCTGAGGATGTCTCCCATATTTTTAGCAGCATTTCTAGGTAAGCTGAACCAAAATAGAAAGGAAAAGAACACGGCTAGGGGATGGGGGTGGACACAGACACGGGCAGTACCACCTCAAACCTGCCCTGTCTCAGCGGGGAAGCCAAGGCCCAAGGGCTCCCAGAGGCCTCCATTCTCTGCTCTGCCACGGTGGTTTGAGCTCAGGCACTTCACTTCTCTAGTTTCGTGCACATACACCCACCTCCCCTGTCTCCCCCAAGGTTCCCCCTCATCCCATTCTTAGGTGCTGCGGCAAGCACGATAGAGTGCCAATATGGAAACACCCTGCAAACACAGCCCTGCTTCATGCTTCCTCATACAGGCAGCGCAGTGGCTGGCACAGGGATCACCACTATTCTGACAGATCCATATGGCAGCTGGACTCTGGACCCTAACAAAGGCCTGGACTGCCCACAACCAAGGCGTCCTGGAGAACAGCAGACCATGGCTCCCGTGTGGGTAGATGTGTTGCTCGTGGCTCCTGTAGACCATGGGTAAACGTGTAGCTCAGGTGAACCCTGTCCCAGACTCTGCACTGTAGTCACCCTGGGGCACAACAGGTGGACAAACAGATCACCCCATGGGCCTCCTCGGGGCAGCTCCAGACCCTGCTCCCCGCATCCTCCAGCTCCTCCTGTAGGGCTGCGTCCCTAGGGCTTCCTCACTCAGCAGGGCAACCACCTCCCCCTTGACAAGCCTCTCCCATCTCCCATCTCCCAGGACTGGACAGCAGTCTGATCCCTCTCTCCAAAGCACCTTATGCTGATCCCAGATTTGGAATTTAGCACACTTTTGTTTTCCCCACCAGGTTATGAACTTCAAAGGGCAGGGACTATTTTAGCGTCTCTTTGTCCCACGTGTCCAGCATACAATAGGTCCTCAGTCGATGTCTGTTGAATGAAGGTATGCTCCTCTGCAAGCTACATCTAATAGCTCAGGCGGCGCAGAGAGAAAAGATGGCCCCCAAGGGTTTGGAGGAGGAGGAGAGCTGATGCAATGCAAGGAATGAGGAGGTGCAGGCAAAGCTGCTGCCCTGTGAGGGCTGAGTTGCTCTGCAGAGGCCTGGATGGAGATGTGAGGCTCAGCGTGAGGCCTCATCTGCTCCAAAGTTCTCTTTCCTTGGAATTAAAACCCAGGATGTGACCTATGACATCAATTCAAACCCTTAAACTTGCAGCAGGCCTGCTTCACACTGGAGATGGTTAATTCTTTATGTGGGTTAAGCTAAGCAAGGGAAAAACCCTTTTTTCCCTTTCCATGGGCACAATTGCTCTGCAAGTAACCATTCAAGTTTATTAAAACAACAATAGCTACCATTTATTGAGTGCTTGCTGTGTGCCAGGCACTATACTGCATGCTTTACATAAGTTACTTGCCCAAGGACCTATGGTTTAAATGACAAAGCCAGAATTGAACCCCAGAACTATCTGGCTCTCCCGGAGGTGGTGAGCAGAGGGGAGAAGGTGAAGGGAAAAGAAACAATGTTTCTAGCTTCTTATCAATAGGAGTGTCATCCTATCATCCCTGGGGCTGTTATGCCCAGTAGCTACGTGGGGCTATTTAAATGAATTAAAATTGAATAAAGTTCAGTTCCTCAGCCGTACAAGCCACATTTAAATACTCAATAGCCATATGTGGCTAGTGGCTATAGTCTGGACAGCACAGAAATAGAGCGCTGTCATCATCACAAAAAGTCCCCTGTTGAACAGCCTGTTTAGGACACCTCCTCCAAATCCAGTCAACCCAAAAGAGGCTGTTCTCTTTTTAGCCTAAGGGATAACTTAAGGGAGTCCATTCATTTCCCTCTCTCACTGCCCCTGCCACAATGCAGGAAGAACAGTGATATGTGAGAACACACTGTTTTTGGCCCCAATACTCCTCCTGCTGCCTAAAGGTCAAAGATATTTCTTTACTAAATTCAAACCACTAAAAAGTAACAAAAGGTTTCACATCCCCCACTCCCACCCATTTCTCTCTGCCAAGTCCACGAGGGGCCTGCCCTCTCCCTCGGCCTGTGCTATTGCATGGCTGAGCGGCTGCCTCTGGTCACTGCAGTCTACCCTCCGTCAGGCAGCTCCCCGGGACTGGGCAGTGGGACACCAAACCCTCTCAATGAGGCCGACTGCCTTACCGGACGACTTGAAGCTCGTGTCCCTTGCCAAAAAACAACCATTTTCCGAGAACCTACACCATCTTTCTTAGGTCCAGACTTGCTCCTAACAAAGAAATACAAGGATGATGCAGGCAGTTCCAGAAGCCCCAACATCACCAAGCTCACCTGGCTCCCCATGCCAGCCACTGCACCGCCTGTACGAAGCAGCGTGGCTGCATTTGCAGGATGTTTCCACATCTGTGACCACGTGGCCACAGATCCCCACTGCAGACCTGCACTTACCTGGCCTTGGAAAGAATACAAAGGTCTGCACTTACCTGGCCATAGACCCGATCTAAATCCTTTAAAGTCTTGATTTATTTACTCATGGCTGTTTTCTGTTCCCTTGGCAACCACCTTAATCTCAGCATGCTCCAGAGTATTTTGGATTGTAACCCACTAGGATAACAAATCTGACCATCTTGTCTTGGACTTAATGACAATGCCTCTTCCTAAATATCCTCTGACCCAGGTTTATCATTTTAAAATGGAAGAGAATGAGAAGTGAGAAGGACAGTACCACCCCATCCTTGCAGAAGGCTGCAATGTGACAGTAGAAGCAGCTTGGGCTAACACGAGGCCTGGGATCTGCTGTCAATTTGTAGCAGGACCTGGTGGACAGGTCACACTATCCCCACCCCCACCCTCCTTTCCCATGTGTTACTGCCCTGCCTGACTCATGGCGAGATTAAATGAGATAATGAATTAGAAAGCCTTGCTAAGAGAACTGGGGCTGGGAACCATTTTTTAAAGAGTTGAACACATAGATGGTCCCAAGCCCTGTGTGTATCAAAATGATTTTCCATAAAGGTCCTTGAGCTCTTCGGGTAGGGGCTGTGTCTCGGGCAGCATCTGAGCATGATGCCTGGCACACAGCAGGCTTCTTTAGTGAACGAATGCCGTGCAGTCCCGGCCTGGTCAGTGAGTCATACACCTCAGTCACTCTTTGCCTGAGGGATTTGACCCTGCCCCCTTTGTGACCCAAAACACCCATTTGTGGGAGGCCCAGTCACCTGGGGTCAGCGAGCAGGCATTCTCATGAATTGGTGCTGGAGAAAAAAGCTGCAATTAGGCCTCATTTTTAACCCCAAGTCCTACCAGCACAGCTATTTGACTGATTTGATCATTAAACAGGCCACTTATGGAAAATAACATGTTCTGTCGTAAAGATGCTCCTGCAGGACTGATCTCGTCAGCATCTGCTGACACTGCATCCTCCGGCACCTGAGTCACAGGGACCTAGTGTTTCCACAGATCTGTCCTTGCGGGCAGTGTTTCTCTAACCCAGGAATGAAAGACGGGACTCAGTGAGGCCTGAAGTGGGTGGGCTTGCTCAACTTGATTTCAGAATTTGGCAAGTGGCAAAGAGAAAAAAGCAAAGGACTCCTGAGCCCCCCTCCCCCACCCTGTTAAAGCAGGGTTTGATGAGCTGCAAGGCAGTCAAGCACTCCCTGGGGCGGTGCAGGATGGAAGGGGAGTTCCAGGAGAGGGGCAGGTCATTAGAGTCAGGGCAGCCCCTAGGGCTGGTGTCGGGTGGAGGGTGCCCAGGAAAACCCTCCTGGTTTGGTTTCCCGTGGTCCTAAGCGCTGAATGCTCAAGTAGGTGGTAGCAACCCCGGCGTACAACACCCCGTGTGATTTCACACTGCATGTTTTGTGATCAAAGAACGGGACGGAGATGCAGCAGCCCTGGCTGAGTGCTAACCATCATCGGCACTGTTACCCTAGTAAGCCATAACAGTCAGGGCGGCCCTCCGGGTCCACCCATCACCTTCGTATGTCCTTCCATAGATCTACAACTGGAGTATTTTCCAGATACAGAGGATTAAAGAACAGTGACCAGAAGCTAGGCTGAACCGTGGCAGCTCCCAGAAGGTAACACTTCTCTGCATACAGAGAAGGATCTGGGCTGTGAGATGGGGGCAAGTGCACTTCTTCCTTCTCTAGAGCCATGTTGGGGTCCTTTCTTCCTACCTCCCAGCTACCCAACCCTGGCACCCCAAACCCATCACCACCATCTCCAGTTCCCTCCTCTCCTCTGGGAAGACACCATCTGAGGTCACAGCCTGGGCTGGAGTCCTGGGCTCTTCTGTCAGCACCAGGGACTCAGCCAACCCTGCTTTGGAAGGGCGTGAGGGGTGACCTCTTGGGGGCAGGAGGCCGAGGAGGGTATGTGGGAAGACACTAAACTGACTTGGAGAAGGGAAGAGAGAAAACACCCCTGGCAAGAACTGGGTGTGGGGAGTGCTGTGCTCCTAGCCTGGGGCAAATGGATCTCTGAGCACACACAGACCCGGGCTTCAGCAAGGGTGGTTCAGAAAGGAAAGTGAGACCACGTGGAATATTCCATCCATTCTCTCTTCTGCAACACCAGACTGATAAGGATCCAAGCCAGTCAAGACAGCCAGCCCACTTCAGACATGCCCCAGACAGGAATAGAAGCAGCGTGTTTGGCTCTCTCCTGCACAGCTACCTCCTCAGGCAGCCAAGCCTCAGCAGAGCCCACCCCGCTCATGCCTGCCTGACCATCACACACATACCAGTTCTAGAGTCGGGCCCAACCACACACACACCTTGGGCAGGGGGCTGGCAGGGATGGAGAGGGACATCAAACCATTCACTCCTTCCAAAAATATTTATTGGATGTCTACGACGTGCCAGCAGTGGCCCTGGTGCTGGGAATATGCTTGGCTCTCCCTCGCCACAGCCTCTGGCTTCCATCCTTGGTATCGCCGAGTCTTGGCAACTCTCCCACAGGGGCAGCCCCCGGCCATCCTGAAGCGTGGGCAGGACCGGCTGGTGCCACAGCTGACCAGTCCAGACCTAAGCCACTTCACACCAGAGACTCTCCCAGCGTCCCCAACAGACCCCTCACTCGGTGCTTGAAGCCTGGGGTCCAACCTCTGAAGAGGGTGGTCACATCCCGGCCCGCGGTGAGGAACTCGGATCTTCCCTCCTCCCTCAACCCACGCTGGGACCTTTCCCAGCACCCTTTGGGACGCTTCTAGAACTGTTCTCAGCCCTTCAGAGCCTTAAGGAATCCACCGGTCCCGCTCTAAGGGGTTCTAAGAGCCAGCAATCCTGGCCACCCCCACTCCCCACACACACCCCGCAAACATCCCCCGCACCACCACGGGTCCGCTGAGGTCCAGTCCACTAGCGCGCCTCCTCCTTGGGGCTGCACGCAGGGGCCGCGCGGTGCACGCGCTGGTGCTTGAGCAGGTGCTGCTTCTGGCTGAAGCCGCGGCCGCAGGCGGGACACAGGTAGGGCCGCTCGCCTGTGTGGTTGCGCCGGTGCCGCGTCAGGTTGGGCTTCTGGCTGAAGCGGCGGCCGCACTCGGGGCACGGGTAGGGCCGCTCACCCGTGTGGATGCGCTGGTGGATGGTGAGCGCCGACCACCACGAGAAGCTCTTGCCGCACTCGTTGCAGATGAACTGGCGCGGCTCGCCAGGCCCAGCGAGGCCCGCTTGTCCCCGGCCCCACAGCGTGTCCCGGGCCCCCGGGGACCGTTGGGAGCTCCGCGGCCTCGCGGCCAAGCCCGGGATGGCCTCGGCCTGCGGCTGGTCGCCCGGTTCCCCGGCCGGAACGGCGGGCTCAGCGACAGCGTGGGCGCGCTGGTGGGCGCGCAGCGCGGCGCGGCTGCGGCAGCTCTTACCGCAGCTGGGGCAGGGCGCAGCCTGGGCGCCGGGCAGGTGCGTGCGCAGGTGCTTGAGCAGGTGCTGCTTCTGGCGGAAGCCGCGGCCACAGTGCGGGCAGGGGTGCGGGCGCTCGCCTGTGTGGTTGCGCAGGTGCCGCGTCAAGTTGGGCTTCTGGCTGAAGCGGCGGCCGCACTCGGGGCACGCATAGGGGCGCTCGCCAGTGTGGATGCGCTGGTGGATGTTCAGCGACGACCACCAGGTGAAGCTCTTGCCACACTCGTTGCAGATGAACTGGCGCGGCTCGCCCGGCCCCTCGGGGCCGGAGACCGCGGCCCGGGCCCCGGGCTGGCCCCACCAGCCCTGGCAGAGCCCCAGCCAGGCCCACTCGGGGCGCCCCCGCGGCGGCCCCGGCTGCAGGCGACAGGCCCGGCGCGCCGCCGCGTCCTGAATCAGCTCGTGCAGGCCGGCGCGGGAGCCCTGGCGGTCCCGGGCGTGCGCGCGCTGGTGGATGCGGAGGCCCACCTGGTGACGGAAGCAGCGCTCGCACTCGGGGCACGAGTGGGTGGCGGGCCGGGAGTGGGTCTTCTGGTGCTTGAGCAGGTGCTGCTTCTGGCTGAAGCGCCGCGCGCACTCGGGGCAGCAGAAGGGTCGCTCGCCCGTGTGGTGCCGCTGGTGGCGCGCCAGGTTCGGCTTCTGGCTGAAGCTCTTGCCGCACTTGCCGCAGAGGTACGGCTTCTCCCCGGTGTGGGTGCGCTGGTGGATCTTCAGGGACGACCACCAGCTGAACCTCTTCCCGCAGTCCAGGCATACAAAGTGACCCTCGCCGGAGGAAAGCGAGGGGCTCAGGGGGCCGGAGGCTGACCCGGGAGCCCGGCCTGCCAGCCCCGCATCCTGCTCAGTGGGAGGGGCCCACCTTGGACTCCCAGACTCCTCCTGTCCCCCCAGGGCTCGAGGCCGCCCCATGGTCTGGCGTGGCGGGAGGCCCCGGTGCTGCTGAAATATGTTCTCCTTGTCCTTCTCCACAAGCATGGCCTGCGGCGCCAGCGTCTGCAGCAGCCGCTCCGGCTTCTCCTGCTTGACCTTCATCACCAGCCCAGCTCCTGCCAGAGGCAAGCGGGAGAGAGGAGGGAGAGAGGTCACTGCTGCTCCGCTGGGTGGGATGGAGAGAAGGAGCAAGAGAGAGGGAAGTGGTGCAGGAGGGCAGAGAGGGGCTGAAAAGAGGGCACGAGAAAAGGCAGAAGGGAAAGATTTTTAAATGAACCTAAGAAAACAGGGGCAAAAGAAGAAAAAAGAGTCGGGAAGGCAGAAAGGACAACAAGGGCAGGTTAAGATATAGAAAGGAGTGAAGGAGAAAAATACAAGAAAGGAACCGTAAGTGAATCACTCGGGTGCCCAGGCCTCAGGATCCCCGAGGCACCGGCTGCTCTGCCTTCTCCACCCTGAGGCCGAGGAGATGCAGAGAAGGTTTAAAGAAACCGATCCAGTGAAATCTGCTGACCCAGGGGGCAAGGAGAAAGTGGCCAAGCTGCAAAACATACCATTCTTTTTCTAAGAGGATCGACGTGCTGGAAGCTTTCTAAGCAAAGGCATGCTCAGTCCCTCAGTGGTCAGGGAGACCAACCCCTGGGTCACTGCAGCACCGTCTATACTGTCGGGGCTCCTGCTCCAAGGCAGAAGCCATGGCGGGGGAGCACTTCACCTGCTGGGACCTTGGCTGTCTGGCAACTCATCTTCCTTCAACAAAACCAAGAACAAGAAAGTAGGCCAGAAAGACCTCAGCACCCAAAAGAGGTGTCGCCTTCCCTTTGTGTTAAATCCAATCCACTTTACTCATGGGGGTCCCACACCCACTGCTCCCAGCCCACACTTGGGCCGTGCACAAGTCTACAGAGGCACTTTGTCTTCCCAGCTCACAGAATAAGAAGCCATAAAGAAACCATCTGCCACAGACACTAAAGAATGCATACTGTGTGATTCCATTTATGTGAAGAGGAGAAACTGGCAAAATGAACCCACGAGTTAGAAGTCAGGATAATGCCCTATTACAGAGGGCACTGTGGGTGGAAGGCAGCATGGGCTCTGAGGTTCTGGCAATGTTCTCCATTGATGTGGGTGCTAGTTACAGGGGAATGTTTGCTTTATAAGAATTTACAGAGCTTGTGATCCATGCACCTTTCCAAAAAGGTTTACATGTAATTAAAAGTAGGTGGAATAAAACAGCTGTGAACAAAGAGAAAAATCTTTAAACAGACGTCAACGTTACAAACCCAACAAAATAAACCCAAAGGAAGTAGAAGAACGGCATTAATAAAGATAAAAACAGATTATAGATAAGGGACATGTAGCCGCAAAAAGGATTCTGAAAATCCCCAAATATGGACTTTATATAAATAAATTTGAAAATCTATATGAAATAGAAGATTTTGCAAGAAAATGTAAACTAAAACTGACCCAAGAGTAGGTAGAAAATCTGACTACATAAACAACTAAAAGAGACTGAGAAGAACATCTCAGTGTACCTCAAAAATGGGTAACAGGCTCTGTAACTATATAAACAGGTGCTGCTAAAGCCTCAAGTGAGGACTTTTTCCACCTTATATGAACTATTACAGTGAATAGGAGCAAAGGGAAAGAAAAGTCTACAAGGTTAGCATAACTCCAGTATCAAGCCAAGAATGGAAGTGGGCAAAAGGTTTATCATTCTTTGAACATAGACACAAACATTAGCAAAGCAACTTCAGTGGTATCAAAATAATAACATACCCTAACCTTGCTGAGATTTTCCCCAGGAAAGCAAAGATGGCCCAATATAATTTATAACATTACCTTATTAAAAGTGAAAAAACTCCCAATAGATGTGAAAAAGTCATATGATAAAATTCAACATTATTTCTGGAGGGAAGGATCAAAGGAGGGAGAAGGTAGGGAAAGAGGAAGAGGGGAGGGAGGGAGGGAGGGAGGGAGAGAGAGAGAGAGAGAAGAAAGCTCCTAGCAAACTAAGAATAGAGGAAACTAAGTTGACAAAGAATGTACTCTAGAAATTACAGCGAACATTATAACCAAAGGCAAAAGATTAGAAGCCCATTACAGGTAGAAACAAAATGCGATGCTCACCATCCCTGAAATCAGCCGGCTGTCCTTGAGGAACTAGCCAAGGCAGAGGGGAAAACAAAGAGAAACGCATCAACATTGGAAAGGAGAGGAAGCTGCCATTTGTTTATGATTATTAACAACCTGGAATGTGCAAGGGAATCCACTGAGAAATAGAAATAAGAGTTCAGCAAGATTGCCCAGTACAAAAACATACAAAAATCACTTTTTAAAAAATGGCAATACAAGTAACTAGGAATATACCCAATAAACATGCAAAACATATACAAAGAAAACTATTAAACTTTACTAAAGAGATAAAGAAAACTAAAGAAAAGGAGCAATGTATATCATATTCTTAGATGAGAAGCCAAAGATGTTCTTCACTCTGAAATAATGTTTAAATTCAGTGTAATCCTATTTAAGTGAACTGTAAAATTTATCATCTATACAAATTGCCCAGAAAATCCTAAAAATGAACAAAGAAGAATTTGGCTTATACGACATTAAAAGCAAAAATGCTACCACTGTACACATATGAATGGCTAGAATTGGCCGGGCAGAGTGGCTCATGCCAGTAATCCCAGCACTTTGGGAGGCCAAGGCAGGTGGAACACCTGAGGTTAGGAGTTCAAGACCAGCCTGGCCAACATGGTGAAACCCCATCTCTACTAAAAATACAAAAAATTAGCTGGGTGTGATGGCAGGCACCTGTTATCCCAGCTACTCAGAAGGTTGAGGCAGGAGAATCACTTGAACCCAGGAGGCAGAGGTTGCAGCAAGCCGAGATCACACCATTGCTCTCCAGCCTGGGCAACGAGAGCAAAACTCTGTCTCAAAAAAATAAAAATAAAATAAAATAAATGAGAGTGGCTAGAATCCAGATCACTGGCATGTGCACACAGTGAGGCTGAGCAGCAACAGGGGCTCTTTCCTTCCTGGTGGAAATGCAAAGTGCTGCCACCACTCTGGAAGGCAGTTCAGCAGTTTCTTACAAAGCTAAATACAGGCTTACCATCCAATCCAGCAGTCGCTCTCCTAGGTATTTACCCAAAAGAGCTGAAAACCTCTGTCCACACAGAAAACTACACATGAATTTTTATAGCTTTATTCCTAACTGCCAGAACTGGGCAGGAACCACAGTGTCCTTCAGTGGGTGAATGGATAACTCCGCATGATGGAATATTAGTCAACAATAAAAAGAAGTAAGCTATTAAGTCAAAAAAGCCATGGAGGTACCCTACATGCAAACTTCTAGGTGAAAGACGTCAACATAAAAGGCTACACACTGTATGACTTCAACTATATGACATTCTGGAAAGGGCAAAACTACAGAGAGAATTTAAAAACCAGTGGTAGCCAGGGGTTGGGGGGTAGGGAGAGATGAACAGACGGAGCACAGGGAACTTGGGGGGCAGTGAAATATTCTGTATGATACTATAATAGTGATACGGGACATTATGCCTTTGTCAAAACCCAGGTAAGGTACAAGACCAAAAGAGAACCCTAATGTCAACTACAGACTTTAGGTAATAAAAATGTATCTATATTGGTTCATCAGTTATAACAAATGTACCATATGAATGCAAAATGTTAATAATAGGAGAAACTGGAGCTAAGGTATAGGGGAACTCTACTTTCTTCACAATTTTTCTGTAAAGCTAAAATTGCTCTAAAAGATAAAGTCTAGGTCAAGCACAGTGGCTCTTGCCTGTAATCCCAGCACTTTGGGAGGCTAAGGCAGGAGGATTGCTTAAGTGCAGGAGTTGAAGACCAGCCTAGGCAACATAGCAACACCTGTCTGTATAAAAAATTTATTAAATTAGCTGGGTGTGGTGGTGCACACCTGTAGTCCCAGCTACTCTGGAGGCTGAGGTGGGAGGACTGCTTGAGCCCAGGAGGCTGAGGCTGCAGTGAGCCCTGATCATGCCACTGCAGAGAGAGAGAGAGAGAGAGAGAGAGAGAGAGAGAGAGAGATCCATTTGGGAAAAAAAGAAAATAAAACCGAACTCTTGACTGACACAGTTGTTATTGTTATTGGCATGGCTCTTCCATGGTGGGCCTGGTGACTTAAGGCTGCAAGTCAGATTCCCTTCCACAAAACAATAAAAGTAAAAGTAAAAATGCTAAATATAATCATTACAATAATGTACAGTACACATAATAGACAAATAGGCCAATGGAACAGTATTGTTTGATACATGATACAAGAGATATTCCAAGTCCATGGAAAAAGGCTATTCATCGACTTAGAACCAACTCTCTCTTTGGGGAAAATATTTAAGTTAGATTCATAGTGAAGATTGTTTATAAAAATCAGTTCCAGATGGACTTAAGTGCCAGCTTAAAAAAAGGAAATGGAAGTATTAGAAGAATTAGGAGAATTTGCTTAGAATCCAGAGGTAATTAAAAGCCTTCTTAAACAGGATACAAAAGATAAAAACTAAATTTAAAACATCTGTATGACAAAAGATACTATAAACATAAGTCCAATAGAAATGGGAATTTCCGCCAGGTGCAGTGGTTCACGTCAGTAATCCCAACAATTTGGGAGGCCGAGGCGGGAGGATCACCTGAGGTCAGGAGTTCAAGACCAGCCTGGCCAACATGGTGAAACCCCGTCTCTACTAAAAATACAAAACAATTAGCCGGGTGTGGTAGCATGTGCCTGCAATCCCAGCTACTCAGGAGGCTGAGGCAGGAAAATCACCCGAACCAGGGAGGCAGAGGTTGCAGTGAGCTGATATCACACCACTGCACTCCAGCCTGGGCAAAAAAAGCAAAAACTCTATCTCAAAAAAAAAAAAAAAAAAAAAGAAAGAAAGGAAAAAGAAATGGGAATTTAGAGCAGCATTTTCCCACAGAACCTTCTGCAATAGCAAAAACAGTTTACATCTGAGCTCTTGAAACACATGTGGTTACTGAGCACTTGAAATGTGACTAGTGCAACTAAGAAATGACATTTTTAATTGTATTTAAATTAATTAACTAATTTTTATTTATTTATTTATTTTTGAGACAGAGTCTCCCTCAGTCACCCAGGCTGGAATGCAATGGCGCGATCTTGGCTTACTGCAGCCTCTACCTCTGGAGTTCAAGTGATTCTCCTGCCTCAGCCTCCCAAGTAGCTGTGATTGCATGCGCCCACCACCACACCCAGCTAAGTTTTGTATTTTTAGTAGAGATGGGGTTTCACCATGTTGGCCAGGCGGGTCTCAAACTCCTGACCTCAGGTGATCCACCGAACTGGGCCTCCCAAAGTGCTGGGATTACAGGCGTGAGCCACCGCGCCTGGCCGTACTTAAGTTAATTTAAACCTAAACTTAAACTAGAAGAGTCCTATGTGGCTAGGCCACGTGCTGGACAGTGCAAGTCCAGGAAAAAATATGTGCAGATATAGAATAGACAAACGCTTAGTATCCAGACTATAAAACAGACTCCTATACGTGATAAAAAGAGGTTCAACCCCACTAGTCATCAACAAAATGCAAACTAAAAGTGTAGCATCTTTCAACCCCTCATACCAACAAAAATTTAAAAAATCAATAATACCTCTACTTTACAATATGCGTGGACACTACACAGGAGAACAAGTATACACATGGGTATTCTGAGAGCATAAACTGAGGCAGAATTTGTGGAGGACGATCTGACAGTGTTTATTAAAATTAGAAGTGTGGAGAGCCTTCTGGCCCTTTCCAGCCAGCAATTCCATCCCACGTGTTCACCAAAGAAATACTGACATACGAGTGTAAAGAGGAATGTCCAGGAATATTCACTGAAGTGTTCTTTGTAATCAGCAAACAATGGAAAATAACTTAATTATCCTAAAAAATAGTTCCCTTCATAATATGGAATACTATGCATCAAGTAAAAAGAATGGAAAAGAACTATGTATGCCAATATGAAAAGATTCTCAAAACATTTTAAGAGAAAACAAAAAACAAGTTGAAAAACCATATGAATCATCTGATTGAATTCATAAAAAATTAAACCATATGTCTCTATGTATACACACAGGCATGATCCAGGATGAGTCACACCAATCTGAGACCGGTGGCTGTGCTGTGTCCATCAGGTGGCTGATGGCTGGTTCCCCCTCAGCCCTCTCCAGCCAGAAAGATGACTGTGGGCCAGAGAGCCCCAGGATGCCAGGACAGTGCTGTCACATCCACCTGCCGAAGGGCCCCTGGCGGACGCAAATGACTGGGTTGGGCGAGGTGCTAAGTCCAGCACGCATCCCTGGAGGCCCTGGAGCTGAGGTGGAGTGTGCTGGGGCTCCAGCAGCCCCAGGCACACTCCCGAGGGTTCAGGTATCCATATGAAGAGCGCAGGCCACTGGCCTGCCCGTGGAGAGTCCCGAAATAATGGCACCGCTCCTCAGTCATCATGAAAAGGATCATGTTTTAGGTTTTAATGGTTCAGATAAAATTAGAAGGTGCAAAGCACAGATTATTGCTCCATGAGTACAGTTTCCCAGGTGATGAAAATGTTGTGGAAATAGATGGCAGTGATGGCTACACAACACTGAATGTACTGATGCCACTGAACCGTACACTTAAAAATGGTTACAATGGTAAGTGTTGCGTATATTTTGCCATAACACACACACACACACACACACACACACACACACACACACACACACACACACACACACACAAATAAAAATTAAAAGTTGCTTAAAAGAGGTAAGCTGTCAATTGTCTGAAAAACGGGGTCCTCCAGATGAGTGGTTCCCTCAGTCTGGCCAGAGGCCAGTCCCCACGTGCCTCCGTGTCTCCAGGAGTCTAGGCTAGTGTTTTTCAAACTCTTCTCTAAAACCACAGGGTTCCCCAGAAGCTGCCGTAGAGAGGAGAGAGGACCCCAGCAGACCACAGCTCACATCAACCAGAGCAACCTCACAGTGACTCAGGATCCCAGGTATGAGTCTATCTGGGGAAAGGGCCTTCTATAACACGCTGGGCACATGTGCTCTGAGTTCCACTGGAATTTCCAAAACACACATGCAGCTAGGGTGCTCCTGCCACCACCTGGCTCCTTGGACAGGCACGCAGCTGCATGGCTAGGCTCCCTGAGGGTCTGTGTCCACACACCACGCTGCCATGTTTTGCACTTGCGGCCACGTTTCTCTTTTACCCCGCTGCCTGATTTTTGTCTCAGTCTTGGGTCTCCTGACATGATATTCCTGGGAGGGGAGGCGGCTCTTCCCACAGAGGCAATGAGGAAGGGGCCCTGGGGTCTATGGGGCAATTCCCCTGGGAGGGGAGAGGGAGGTAAAGAAACCCGAGTCACACTGTGCCAAAGGGCAGGGTTCCCAAGGGTAGCCGGTGTGCTCTGGACTCAACCCTGCCAAGGGGCCTAGAGCCCTTCTGGCAGCTGGGCCACACGCCACATGCGACAGGGCACTCCAGGAAGGGCTGCAAGTGCTACACACAGACGCCAGGGGCTGCTCCACTCCAGGCGCAGGGACGCTGGGCAGGGGCTCCAGCCAAAAGCACATGACTGTGCGGGCAAACTTTCCACTGGCAGCATGTATTTCATCACAACCAGCTCTAAGCGGCTTAGCCAATAACGACCCTGAACTTTGAGTGACCCCCAGGAAGCGTTAATGGACTGAACTGAAGACAATGTCCTGACTGATGAGCCACAGGTTTGTTCCAATCGTCCTACCTAGAGTGCCAGTTTTCCGTGTCTAATTAGTATAACCCCACAAACTCCCTGTTCTAGCACGTAAATAACACCTCAATTTCTACAAGGCATGGGTGCACATGTGTCCCCTTGCTGGGCAAGTTAATGGACCAGGCTTTGCCATTTTTTGAGCTCCCACAGCCTCTGTCATTGTTCCATTCTTTGACATGGCTGTCTAAGTCCTGGTCCCCACCCTGAAATTCTGCATCAGTGGGATGTACTAGCTACTGGCTGAGGGCACTGGCTCGCGCCTGGCTTTAGAAAAGATAAGGGCACGTGACCTCAGCAGAGGAGACCCCGCTCCCCTGCCTCCTCTTTCTTCTCTCTTACCTGTGCCGTTGCCAGCCAGGCCACTCTCCATCCCTGGAGGCCTCCCAGCATCAGCGCCGGCTGTGTCCCTTTCCTGCCATCTGTCAGAAAGAGAAGCAGAAGAAAGAGAATGGGCCTGTGGGACAAGGACAAAACTCAGGGTCCCCAGCCCCCCTCCCATCCCATAAAGCACTCTCTTTTCCAAAGAGCTTTTCTATCCATAGCCACATTCGACATGGGCAGGGGTTCTTTCATTGTAAGCATACCTGCTGAGAAGGTAAAACAGCCATAATTCCCATTTTACAAAAGAGGAAACTGAGACCACGAAGGACCCCTGATGTGCCCAGAGTCATGGAGGTGATGAATGGCAGAGCTGGACAAAAACCCAGGTCTTCTAACTCCCACACGAGAGCCCACACCCTCAACATTCGCAGGGCGGCATGTGATGGACACCACGCCTGAGAAGCAGGAGCCTGGAGTAAGGTTAGAGACATGTCTGCGACTGGCCATGAGGAATGCACCCGGAAGGCAGAATGGCCCTACACGTTTCCTCCGTCACCCGCCCCCTCTTTCAAAGTCCCCATCCATGTTCTAGCACAAATCCCTCTGGGGAGCTTCGGGGCCAGCCATCTCCATACAAGAACACACACGGTCAATTGGGCATTGCTGAGCCCATGCCCAGTTCACTGATGTAGGATTCATCTTTTTTTTTTGAGATGGAGTCTCGCTCTGTTGCCCAGGCTGGAGTGCAGTGGCGGGATCTCAGTTCACTGCAAGCTCCGCCTCCCAGGTTCACGCCATTCTGCCTCAGCCTCCTGAGTAACTGGGACTACAGGCGCCCGCCACCACGCCTGGCTATTTTTTTGTATTTTTAGTAGAGACGGGGTTTCACCGTGTTAGCCAGGATGGTCTCCATCTCCTGACCTCATGATCCGCCCGCCTCAGTCTCCTGAAGTGCTGGGATTACAGGCGTGAGCCACTGCGCCCGGCCTTCTTTTTTTGTTTTTATGCCCAAGTCTTCTGAGCGCTTCCTGAGTGGCTCACTCTGTGCCTGGAACATGACAGGACAGGTCACACTGCTGTGTGGATGCCCCACGCCTTTGCCCTGGCTGTCCCCTCACCGCAGATCCCCGCCTGGCTTGCCCCCCACACTTCTATCAGCTCCCAGCTTAAATGTCCCCTTCTCAGAGCAGGCATCCCTTGTGCTTCTTTTTTTTTTTTTTTTTTGAGACAGAGTCTTCCTCTGTTGCCCAGGCTGAGAGTGTAGTGGCCCAATCTCAGTTCGCTACAATCACCACTTCCTGGGTTCAAGTGATTCTCCTGCCTCAGCTTCCTAAGTAGCTGGGATTACAGGTGTGCGCCACCACACCCAGCTAATTTTTGTATTTTTAGTAGAGACAGGGTTTCACCATATTGGCCAGGCTGGTCTTGAACTCCTGACCTTGTGATCTACCCACCTCGGTCTCCCAAAGTGCTGGGATTACAGGCGTGAGCCACCGTGCTGGCCCCTGGCGCTCCTATTTACAGTCACCAGCCTAACTCCACCTCCCGTTTCCTCTCTAACATTTTTGCCACCTGACATGATCTTAACTTTTCTGTTCCCCACCACAGCAAGGTCAGGAGCTCTTCATGCTTGCTGCTGGATCCGCAGGGCTCAGAGCAGAGCCGGGCACACAGAGGGCCCGTAACAAATGCAGGTGGCAGGAATGTGCTGCCCTGCCTGGCCAGGAGCTGTGCAGCCTGAAGACTCATCTCCTCCTCGCTGGGGGTGCACCTCTCCTAAGGACAGGGATGTGGTCCCGTGCACCTGTACCCCCTAGCAGAGCAAAGATGTGGCTGCCCCACAGAGATGCACAGCTCGTCCTTCCTGCTGCCTCAGGGAGGGGCTCTTCCAGATTTCAGTCAGCCCCTCCTCCCAGGCACCCTGGCTCGGCCACCCCCACAGAAACACCCACCCCAGGGCCCGAGAGCCTCGCAGAGACCCAGACTCCCTCTCCTAGGTCCCCTTCAGAGCCCAGACACTGGGGGCACACACACAGACTGGGAATCTGGACCCTGACAAGAGACGTCGGGGGAGGGGTGAATATGAATCTAGAAAATGCAGAAAGTCATTTTCCCTGGTGCAAAGAGAAGAAGAGACACCCACTTTTTTCAAGAGCATTTTGTTTAGAAACTTCTAATTAATAAGCTCTATCTCTGTCTTTTTGAGATGCATGTGAATCTTTATTTTTTATTTTTGCAGTAAATGCTCCTCAAGTAGAAATAAATCTTTTTAAAAGTTAAATAAGGCTGGGCACGGTGGTTCATGCCTGTATTCCCAGCACTTTGGAAGGCTGAGGTGGGTAGATCACCTGAGGTCAGGAGTTTGAGACAAGCCTGGCCGACGTGGGGAAACCCCGTCTCTACTAAAAATACAAAACTTAGCTGGGTGTAGTGGCACATGTCTGTAATCCCAGCTACTCGGGAAGCTGAGACAGGAAAATTGTTTGAACTCAGGAGGCAGAGGTTGCAGTGAGCCGAGATTGTGACAGAGTGAGACTCTGTCTCAAAAAAAAGCTAAATAAGCCTTCTGCCAACATTACAACCCAGGACTGTCTTTCCCAAGGTCCTGGGGGCCATTTCTTTGAAATTTAAGTATCAAGGAAGACATCACCCCTGCCTCCCAGTCTCCATGGGAGGGTAGGAGCCTAATTTCAGCAGGTGCCTGGCTCCAAATCACAAAACTATCTCCTGTCATAAAAATATAAGAACTTTATTTTTCCTGTGGGTAAAGGCAATTAGCTAACACAGATGGTCACTCCAATTATGAGGTGAATTTAGGACGACCTGCCTGCGTGTGACAAATGGTAATGTCCAGTCCTCTTGCTGGAGGGCTGGTTGCTGTTTATCCTGAGAACATGTCTGTAACGGGCTGCACCTGCCGGCTACATGCAGGCTGAGAGCTTCCGTCTTTGCAGTTACTCAGGGATTGCAGGCTCAGAGCTCCCGTCTTTGCAGTCATTCGGGGTATTGCAGGCTCAGAGCTCCCGTCTTTGCAGTCACTCGGGGTATTGCAGGCTCAGAGCTCCCGTCTTTGCAGTCGCTTGGGGTATTGCAGGCTCAGAGCTCCCGTCTTTGCAGTTGCTCGGGGGATTGTCCATGGTGCGCACCACATTCTGGTTTCATGCACATTCAATCTTTTAAAAGCTGTTTTTCTCTTCTACTTTTGCAAAGAGCTTTTCTGGGTTGGCAAGAGATTTTGTTTTCAATTCTATTTCCCCAACAGGGGCCTGTACGCATGCCTACCATGGTTTCTTACAGAACCTGCTTGTGGTGCAGAGAAAAGGCGAGCAGTGGGGAAGGGGGCGGGAGGAGCCCCTGGTGGGGCTCTGATGGGTGCTGGGGGCTCCTCCCTCCCTCGCCACCCTCCTCCCTTGGGGCCACTCTGTGAGCTTCTGCATGCCACATCTTGGGAAACCTCTCACCAACTGGACTTAACATCCACCTGAAGAGGCGCAGAGGGGCTAGTGGACAGAGAAGCCACCTTGGTAAGGGGAACTCAGACCGAGGAGGGCAGAGCCCAGGCCACAAATTCAGGAGGACAGAAGGATGGGCCTGGGTCTCCACAGAGCGAGACCCCCAAGGCAAATCAAAGACAGTCCTACTTCACCCACCCTGCCTCCCAAGAGGTATTAGGACCTAACAGCCACTCCAGGTAGTAGCAGGCCTTCCACTGTCCGGGACCTCCCAGAGCAGCTCCTCCCTCAAGCCTCGGTGCCTCTGTCTCGGGCCATACCAGGGCTCGAGGGGAAGCAGCCTGTGGCTTACGTAAGAACAGAAATGGAGACAGAAGGAAGAGGACCCAAGAGGAAGAAGTGAGAAATTCAAAGGGGGAAACACAGAGGACAGGAATGAGGGGAGGCCAAGTCTTTGGGGACCCGCCTCTACCTGTGTGCTCAGGTGGGCTATGTCTGGGAAATGGCACAGCAGGTGTCCTACAGACAAAATCCAGGAAAGCCCTCCATGTGTCATGTTCCAGGCTGGCCAGACACACACGTCCCCACCCTAAGCTTCTCTCCTATTCTGCCTTTCACTCTGCTCTGTGCATGGCGGGCCCCTCCTAACCTACCATCCTGACATGTCCTCAGCCACCTGGAGACACCCAGGAGCCAGGTGAGCAGGCTGCCCAGCAAAGCGCCCCGGCTGGAAGACAGGCATCAAGGGCCAGATGCGCCATCTCCCACCAGTGCCCACACCAAGTCTTGGAAGGCCGCTTTGTCTATCGCACAAGGGCCCCCGGGCCCCTACCGGACCACCTTTCCTCTCTGCTGCCCCTCGGGCTCTGAGGGGAGCAGGACACACAGGGGCCCCCTTCCCACGCCTGGCCCTGGCCCGGCCCTCCGCGCACCGGGTCAGGCTGCAGTTCAGTTAAGAGCCTCACAGTGGGCAGGCCTCAGCCTGGGCCCAGCTGCCATGACAACTGAAGACCAACCACACAAAGAGGGGATTGAGCTAGCAGCAGGTGGAGAGGCCCGGGGCAGGGGGAGGCAACAAAGGAGCTTTGGTTGTGGCAGAGACTTGGGGGTGGGGCGGCCAGACAGCAGCTGGGGGAGGAGAAAGGCCACAGGCCAGAAAGAGGCAAGGTCCTCCCCATCGCCGCCCCTGGAACCTCCCACCAGCCCAGCACAGCTCTCACAGCCTCAGCGCCCCAGGTCGGGCAGTCAGAAGCAGACCATGCCACAGGTATCATCTGCTGCTAGTGGAGCGGGAGCAGGATCCGCCACTAGGCGCTAAGGCTTTTGGGGGTGGGGGCAGCTCCCCAAACCCCAGCCAAAGGCCCAGTATCAGGCCCTTCTCAGCCCTGAGGTCCCAGCAGGTCCTCACTTGCTGGGCACAGCTCAGCTGGTCTTCCATAGGAGACCCCCACAGAAACTGGCCTCTCCAGTCCCAGCCCATGCCCAGCCAATGCCTCCCTGCCATGCTGCCCCTTTCTATAGCCTCATCCTTCTCAACTCCACCGGGTCCCCAGCGCCTCCCTGCCCTCCTGCAGCCCATACCTGACTGCTATGTCCTCACCCAGTCCTCTCTCCCTGTGAGACCCCTCACTCAGGTTAGCCCCAGGGAGCGGGGGCTTGCTCCCACACCTGCGCGTCCCTCATATGCAGAAGGTGTGTAATGTGTATTGAATGAATGAACGGATGAGTGAATGAAACAATGGAGGACCCAAGAGGTGGCTCCTCAGGCTCCAGTCTTCTGTCACTATTAAGAAATCCCTCAGGACCAGGCAATGGTATTCTCTGCCTCTGATTTCAGTTAATAGCAGATGTTTTTAATTTAAATATATGATCATAGGGACATAAGAAACTGATGTAAATGCTAAACCACACACAAACACACCCAGATACAATCATATCTAAATACAGCTAAGTAAACAAAAGTTCAAAGACACAAAACTACGTGAGAACACCTGCAAAACTGTCTATGCAAATACAGAGAATGTGAGATATTTTTTAAAACTCACAGACACACCTACAGATCCACAGACACACAAACGTGCCACTGTGAACCAGGGCAGCACGAATCACTGCACAGCACACTTAGGAACACAGAACTGCAAAGCCACCCATGACACAAGTATCCTTGTACACCCATGGCCATCCCATCAGGGTCACTTGCTCCGAGGAAAAGAACTCAGAGAGGTAGAAACAGAAGCAACATACCCTCATCGAGCCAGGAGGCCGGGGCCATAAGTCACCGTTGGATGACCTGCGCTGGGGTGGGATAAGTCAGCAGGAGCTGCAGCTGGCTGGAGAGACGTTACAGCAAGACAGAAAGCCCTAGAGACAATGAGCCTGTGTCCGGCAAGCCTGGTGCAGCCTAAGATCCTCAGGGCCTGGCCTGTGGGCTCTGGCCCAAGGGGATGCAGCGGGCCCTCTCCCCTTCAGCCATCTTTGGGTGACCCTCAGCCGCCACCTGGCTGGCTCCTCAGCCCTAGTCTCCCCCTAGAAGCCCACTGCCTGAGGCTGGCAGGGATGTCCTTCTCAAGGCCACCCTTCCTGGTCCCTCCCCTCAGGACCCCATGTCTTAATCAAGAACCCCAAGTCCCAGCCCACCCACCACTGAGCCGCTGCTAGTCCCTGGCCAGTCATTGCAGCGCTTTGAGCTCAGGTTCTTGAAGGCGCAGGTGAACGGAAATACCTGCTCCCTGAGTTTGGGAGGAGCACCACAGGGCGGCAAGCCTGAGCCGGATGCATCGGGCAGTATCTGTACAAGCCTCTCTGCCAGCGTCCCCGCTGCCACTCACTCCTCCTAAGCCATCACTCCTTCCAGCCAGTTGGGAATCTCAGAGGCCCCCAGCGCCACACAGGAGCCTCCACGCTCCACCATGCAGGAGGAAGAGGGTTTGCCACGGCTCTGGTTGTGGCACTGTCTGCAGAGCCCTCCACTTACCAGGGTGGTTCTGCATGCCCCTCCCAGAGGTCCCAGCCCAAACCAGGTGGGCATCCCCTCCCCCACCTGGAGGCCTCCATCCCCACACCCAGCATCAGGCACCCTGAAGCCTCCCACAACTCCCCTGTCCCACCCCCCATGACCCACCCTGCTCCTCTCCAACTTCCCGGATCCCACTCAGCACAAGGCCACCCCCACTGTGACCACTCTCCCAGCCCTGACCCTTCCCCTCTTCCTACTCCACCATCTTCAGACCTCAGTCTCCCAAACACCCCAGTCCTCAATCTGGGGAGGGAACAGAGGAGGGGAGCCAAGGGAAAGGGCGGGCCACTGTCCAACCCAAAGAACAGGCCATAGTGGAAAAAGCCGCTGAGAGGCCCCAGACAGGGACTGAGATTGGGTTTGCTTCTGGTTAGCCACATGATCCCAGGCAAACCACTTTCCTTCTCTGGGCCTCAGTTTCCCCACCTGAAAATGGAAATAACGCTTGCTCGTGGTACAGAATTGTTATATCAAGTGGGGCGGGGGCGGTGGGGGGTGGGGATGGCGGGACGCAAACAGTGTGAGAGGACTCTGAGAGACATTCCCAAGGTGCAAGACAAATTCGATTTAGGTCGTTGCTGTTGCCATCACCCGCTCCCCACTCAGGGTTATAAGAACTGTACCTCAGGGTATGAACAGCCAGCCTGGTTTCATGGCTTCAGTTTGCTCCCCTCGACATTCCCAGGAGACCTGATCTGCATGCAAGCAGGTCACTTGCCTTATCCACTATGCCTGCCCACCTCCCAGAGGTCCCCAATTCAACCCCAGCCATGATCCTGAGGTACCTCCTTCCAAGACTTCCTTCACCGGCCAGAGGTAAACACGCTTGCTGGAACTGTCCCACCCACACCTCCCCTGCGCCACACCCCTGGCCCCCTCCTCCTCACCCACCTCCCTTCAGAGGCGAGAGCTGCACTTACATTCCTCGGCCCCAATTCTAATATTCAGGAACCTGTCAGGGCCTGCATCTGAGCTGAAGGCCGAGGATAAACCCAGCTGCTAACAATCTCTGAAGAGGTGTCACATTTTAATTAATAAACACGTTTGCATCCCTTGCTGCATTCAAAGGACCTTGGGAAAGCAAAGTGAGATGGAGCAGGGACCCCTTCAGGCACCTGCTGTGCCCTCCAATCATGAAAATAAAGGAAAATCTTGAGTTCTTTCCAGGGAAATTCCAGGCACCTAGCTGGTCCTGAGAAGTAAATGTGCAACCTGATAAGAAGGTAATCGTAGCTAAAATAATAGCAAGGAAGTCAGACCACACGAAACGTGTGGTTGCCTAAAGAAACTAAAGGTAACATCTTAGCATATGTCCTTGAGTTGTTTTTCAGAAACCCAGACCCCCACCAAATGGACTTGCTGGCACGCACACCTCGGATAAGAGGGAACTGAGAACTCAACTCTGCTCATCTTTCCCCATTGCACCCCGACACGCCCCATCCTCTCGTGGCTCTTGAACTCACCGTGTCCTCGCACCCTGTGACCAACCTTGGAAGGCCCTTGCTCAGTTCTCCCCTTCCCAGCCCAGATTAGGGATCGCTTTGACCAGGAAGCCTTTTTGGACACACCAGGCACAGCCAGGAATCCCTTCTCTGTTTAACCTGTGCACCTAGGACCATCTACATGGAATCATCATTGTCATCAATTTGTTAGTCTGCACAAGACTACATGCATCTTAACACAGGGTCCTTCTCTCTCCCCTGCACCCAGTACAGGCTCCACACACAGTAATCCATTAATAAAAACTGTCATAAGGGAACACTTAAATAAAAGAAATTTCAGTACAAAACAGATTTGAAGCACGGAAGCATGAACCTTCAAGCTGAAAGGAGACAACTGCCATCTAATCTCTTCATTTTACAGATGAACATGGGAACAGTTAGCTGTGAAGCCTTGGGCTGTCGTCCGCCTCCAACCCCTGGGGCTCTGACCACACCCAGCCCCAGCTCAGATCATCTTGCTCAAAGGGCCGAAGGAGGACCCATCTCCACACCTTCCACATGTAGATATCCTCAACGTTCTTCACAGAGGGGATGCCCGCACCCCGCCCCACCGAGTTCGCGGCTGCTGTGCCCATCTTCCTAGAGAGGAGTTCTCCGCCACACCCGACACCACACACTTCCAACTTCTGCGGTGCTTCCCTCTCACTTATCTCCACCCCCAATCCTTATCCCCGCTCGTTTAATCACACATTTATTGGTCACCTACTATGTGTCTGTCACTCTGCAGCGAGCATTGGGGTTCCTGCCCCCAGAAACTGATCTATCAGGGAGGCGAACAGGGACGGGGAACTCGGAACAACGGGACAGCCCAGGAGAGACCGCCCGCGGGCGACCCCTCTACTCGCCACCGCGTCCTCCCTCCATTCTCACTAGCCTCCCTCCTAACCTCGCTGCCCTGGCCTGGCGCCCTCCCCACCCTCGGCCGCGCCCCTTTCCCCTCGGCTGTGTCGGGGCAGAGGGAACGCTTGAGACCCGGGGCTCGGGGGGCGCGCGGGGCTCGGGGCACCCCAGGCCCCCGCCCCATCCCTCCGCCCCAGCCCGGGCCGGGCGGAGGCAGCACGGGAGGAGCGGGGCCGGGCGCTGGTCCATCCCTCGCACCGCCCCTCCCCGCCCAAAATGCAGAGGGACTCGGAGGGAGGCGACGGGGAAATAAATACCTTTGACTTTGTGGCTAAGGTTAACGGGAACTGCCACCCCGAGGGCGACTTGGGCACCGGGCTCCCGGCCCTGGCCATTCCCGGGGCAGGCGGGGCGGGCACGGGTGCCTGATTGGCTGGCGGGCCTGGCCATCCCCGGGGCCGCCCAGCCACTCCATTGGCTGCGCCGCTCAGATGACCCGCCCGGCCCTATCGGAGCAGCCCGCGGGGCGGCTCCTTTGTTCTCTGGAGCCAATAGCCGAGGGGGGAGGGCTGACCTCGCCCCCGGCGGGCGCGCAAGGCCCGGGCGCCGTGAGCGCGCTAGCCGCCGGCCGCGGGGAGGAGACCTTGGGAGGTCGGGCCCCAGATGGCCGGCGGCGTCCTGGCACCCCTGCCAGGCCTGGACTCCGCGTGCGACCCCGTTGTAACGCCTGAACTCAGCGCACGTTCGCCGAGCGCCACAGCGCGCCGGACGCTGTTTCTCCCTGCTGGGGACCCATCAGGGCCCGGACAGAAACCCCGGCTGAGGCTGTGGCTGCCCTCAAGCCGCGATAGCCCCACCGTGGGGTGTGATAACTTTTAGGGTTCACTACGAGGGACCTTAGAAATCATTATACCCGACCCCTTCGTTTTCTGTTTCAGGGAGGTGGTCTCGCTCAGACCCCAGTGGCGCGATCATGGCTCAGTGCAACCTCGAACCCGTGGCTCAACCGAACCTCCCAACCTGCTAACTTTTTAAATATTTTGTAGAGATGGGGGTCTCGCCATGTTGCCCAGGCTGGTCTCGAACTCTTGAGCTTAAGTGACCCTGCGGCCTCGGCCTCCCAAAGTGCTGGGATTACAAACCCGCGCCCGGCCTAATCCCTTTGTTTTCTAGCTGAGGAACGGCTCTGAGGTTACGTTACTAGGTCGGGTTACTAGGTAGGGTTCCCGTGAGCGGAATCATCTCCGCCCAGTTGCCACCCCGGTCCAGACTGCCAGACCTTCAGGAAGGAGTATCTTCGCAACTCCCCACCCCATTGTAAGGAAATTCCTCACACTTCTCCCTCAAAGGGGGCGCAGCTGGGTCAACTCCCACTGGCAGGATGCTCTCCGGAGCTGCTAGAAGCTGCCTCTGGGGCATGAGGTAGATACAGACAGAAGCTGGGCCTCTGAGACTCTACAAACGGTTGCTGTTGGGCAGGCGGACCTTATTTTCTTCAGTCAACAGCTGATTAAACATTTGCCACAGGCCCGGCTGCGGTTTAGCCTCAGTAGCACAGCAGGAACTGGGGACTGAGATTCGATTTTGTCACTAACTTCATGTGTACTTTTTATAAAAGATACTTTTCTGTTTCTGGACTTTGACTTATTCGTCTATAAAATAGGGTTAATAATTTTCTAGTTGCCTGCATACCTTACTGAGTTTTTACCGTTAATTTGGTTATATTATCTATAGAAGGATTTGTAAAATACAAAATCATACACACCCTATAAAGAGGCCACACATCACTAGCTATCAACACTTTGGAGTCTCATTCTCCTGTTTATTTTTTTAAAGACGGGGTCTTGCTATGTTTCCCAGGTTAAAGTACAGTGGCTATTCACAGGCACAATCATAACGCACTTCAGCCTCAAACTCCTGGCCTCAAGGGATCCTCCCACCTGAACTACACCTGAGACTACTGGCATGCACCACCACACCTAGCTTATTTTCTAGAAGAGTACCTAGAAGAGGTTCTACGAAGGCTTGTGGAATACATTCCTGTTGCTGAGACCAGTATTCTAGTTCCAGATTTGCCACTGGCTACAAGTGTTGAGACAGAGCAGGAACCTCTCTTAGGGGTCTGCCACCAGCCCCCCATTCAATGCACGAAAATAAAGAAACATTTGAGTCCCTTCAAGGGAAATTCCAGGCACCTAGCTAGCCCTGCAACCAGCAATTAGGGAAGTGAATGAATGACCTGCTAAGCAAGAAAGTAGTAATAGTTTAAACAATAGTACCCAAATAAGAGTCACAAAACGTTAGCTTCCTTATAGAAACTGAAGATGACATCTTGACATATGTCCTTGAGTTGTTTTTCAGAAATTAGGACCCCCACCGGTGGGGGTCACTTCCACTCTCTGGGCCTGTTTCCTTCTTACAGAGCAGACTTCCTCCAGATTGGCATCCCATGACCAAGGGTATTTCAGAGGTGGAAAGAATGGAGAACCTCTGGGATCCTATTTCCACTAAGAAAAAAAATACCAGGGGGAGAGGCTGCATATGTGTTTGCAAATACACAGGAAAAAAGTGTTAGGAGAATACTCCTCAAACTTTTCTCAGTGTAAACAAAAAGGATTTTGAGAGTGGAATAGGGGAATGAAGGAGAACGTTCACATTATTATCTGAATTATTTATTTTTAAAGATAATTTAATGCTTTTGTAATTGTAGAAGAAAACAAAGAAAAACTGTGGATTCTTCAGAAGAGATGGGCAGCTCCTGCCAGCAGACCCCTACAACCCAGGCAGTCCTCCCCAGTGACTGCTGTGGTGATGAACCAGGCAGAGCAAGGGCTTGAGAACCACTGGGCCACCCACCAAGGGACTCAGGAAGGAACCAGGCACAATTTGACTCTGTTCCTGCTTTACCAGCCCCCTCAAGGCCACTTGTGTGACCTTTCCGTCCTTTGGACCTCTCTTTCCCATCCCCATAACAAGCAGTGGGCAGTGAAGCACTGACGACACCCACACCCCGCTTTCCCCATATCCCAGACTATTTCCTTTAAACGGGACTTTTCAAAAGGTTAGGACCCCTGGTCAGATCCCCTCTCACCCTCATCCTTGTCCCTAACGGCTCCAATACTAACCTAGGTGCCAACCCAAGGACCCGCCCCTGCTCCCTGCCCATCATTTCCAGACATCGACCTACTCTTTCCTGGCCATCTCCCCTTCCCTGGAAACCCTGTGTTCCCACAAAGAGAAAAAATGTGACTGGGGCTTTCTTGAGACCACGCCCTCTGCTCCCAGGCTTTGACAGATAATTTGCCATCAACTACACAGGTTTTTAAGTGGCTCCATAACCCCATAAACCAATATGAAGCTTTGAAGCTGTTCTTTCCATCCTACACACTTTAAGCCCCACCCACACAGTTGGCATTTAATACTTAACCAAAAACAGCAGCACGCAGCGTTCATCCACTAAGCACACAGCGGTTGTCAAGAGCACAGGTTTCAGGAGTCAGACAGACTTGAATTTGAATCTGCCTCTGGTGATTACCAGTTATATGACTGTGGGCAAATGTTTTCATGTATAAAAGAAGACTACCTCCCACACAAGGACACATGAGATAATTTAGGTAAACTTCACCAGGTGCCACTCACGTCAACAAATTGTGGTTATTCTTATGTGCTCTGTGCTAAATGCTGGAGATATATGCAGAAATTGCTAACACAGGCAAGAAAAGAACTATTAATGCCTGGTAAAAAGAGGTACTCAAATTTGTATGAAACCACCAATTCAGGGACGCATACAGAGTGACTGCTCACAGAAATCTGGAGTCCTACAGCAGGCCGGCCAGGGACACTGTAGGACAGAATCAAATCAGCCCCCTTTCCTGCCTAGCAACTAGCACCTGAAAAGTCTGACCTGACCTTGAGATGGAGCAGAGACCCTCTTTTTTAATTTTTTTTTATTTTTATTTTTTGAGACAGAGTTGTTGCCCAGGCTGGGGTGCCATGGCGCGATCTCGGCTCACTGCAACTTCTGCCTCCTGGGTTCAAGTGATTCTCCTGCCTCAGCCTGCCGAGTAGCTGGGATTACAGGCATGCACCACCATGCCCGGCTAATTTTGTATTTTTAGTAGAGACAGGGTTTCTCCATGTTGGTCAGGCTGGTCTCAAACTCCTAACCTCAGGTGATCCACCTGCCTCGGCCTCCCAAAGTGCTGGGATTACAGGCGTGAGCCACCACGCCCAGCCTCAGAGACTCCACTTAGGAGCCTGCTGGGTTCTGCCCATCACTTGAAAAGCATGAGAATAAACAAAAATGTGAGTCCCTCCCAGGGAAATTCCAGGCACCTAGCTAGCTCTACAACCATGAATTGGGGAAATGAATGAATAACCCGCTAAGCAAGAAAGTAATAATAGCTTAAACAATAGTCACTCAAGTAGTAGTCACAGAATGTTAGCTTCCTCATAGAAACTAAAGATAACATCTTTTTGTTTGTTTTGTTTTTTGGGTTGTTTGTTTGTTTTGAGACAAAGTCTTACTCTGTTGCCCAGGCTGGAATGCAGTGGCACGATCTCAGCTCATTGCAACCTCCGCCTCCCAGGTTCAAGCAATTCTCCTGCTTCAGCCTCCCTAGTAGCTGGGACTACAGGGGCCCGCCACCACACCCAGCTAATTTTGTATTTTTAGTAGAGATGGGGTTTCACCATGTTGGCCAGGCTGGTCTTGAACTCCTGACCTCAGGTGATCCACCCACCTCGGCCTCCCAAAGTGCCGGGATTACAGGCATGAGCCACCATGCCTGGCCTAAAGATAACATCTTGACATATATCCTTGAGTTGTTTTTCAGGAGCCAGGACCCCCACCAATGTCACCACGTGACAATGCCAGCACGTAGACCTCAGACAGACTGGAACCAGAAAATGGATAAGGAAGTTCCAGAAATTCCTCAGCCCCTAACTCCCTTTGAAACCTCCCCACCCCTGCCTTAAAAACCCTTGCTTAAAAGCCATCAGGGAGTTTGAGCCTTAGCTGCCCATTCTCCTCGCCTGGTGCTCTGCAATAAACGCCTTACTTTCTCTGGCTGCAAATCTCACTGTCGGTGTTAGGCTTTGCAAACACTGGGCAAGTGGACCCAGGCTGGGTTTGACAACAACCTCAAAGAAGGCTGAAACCCTGGTGTGTGGAGTGTGGAAGCTGAGTGCTGTCTTAGCTGCAGGGAACAGCCTCCCCTCCCAGAGGCTCCTTCATCTGTCCAACCTCTGAAGGACTACTGGAGGCACAGTCCAAGTATAACCAAAGTCCGTTTAACACCCAGCACCCCTCAAAAGAGCTCATAGTGCTTGCTGTAGTTTCATAAAGGCCCAGGTGGTGAGAAAGATTAGGTGTTGCTGGGCCCATCTAGGAGGGCAAGTGACCAAGAACATAAATCTTGGGACCAAGCTGAGAGCATTCCACCCACCACAGTTCTCTGGAGCTTCGGCCCACCACCCAGAGAATTAGCCCAACTGCCTGGGTATGCTCAGGGAAGAACTGAGGCAGGGGGCCAGAGCTCAGCAAGCTGGGCATGTGGCCTGTGGCCAGAGCCCCACCCACAGCCCCCCGTCCTTCTAGGGAGGAGAGCATGCTGCTCCTCCTGACATGTCGCAGCTCCCCCAGAAAAAGTAACACTCCCCAGCCACCAGTTCTAAAACCAAATCTTTATTCTCTAGTTTGAAAAGGAGGGGTAAATGGTTGTTCTGTTTAGTTCCAGAGAACAGAACAAGGCCCAATAGGTAGAAATTATAGGAAAGCAGAATTCATTCATTATAAGGAAGGATTTCTAACAATTAGAATTTCTAACAATTAGAATCATCCAGGGCCTCAGGAGGTGCGGAAGTTCCTGTCACCTAAGTGCTCAAGCAGAGGCCAGGTGTCCATATGCTAGAAATGGAGAAAAGGAAACTCACCAGCAACTTCCCCTCAGCTGGCCCTCCATCACCAATGCGGCAGTCCTTGCCGTGACATGCTGAGCTCTGGAAGGAGCGAAGGAGGGGCTGCGGTGTTCAGACAAGAGCCTGGACACAGTGCTGCTGACAGCCAGGGGAGGCTCTCAGCGCTGGGAGGGGCGACAGATAAAGCGAGACAGACCAAGGAGTAAATGCCTTGGGATCTGCTCTTTGGGAAGGAAGAGGATGGAAGTATTAACAGCAGACGGGTCTCTCCAAGTCTGGGTGCCTACGCAGGGGGCAGGTGGGAGGGGAAGGGAGAGGTAAGAGTGGCTTCGCTTCACCTCTTGCTGCTGGCAAAGGCCCAAGTGCTGTCTAACAAGGCCAGCAGGTTCTCCAAGCTGTATCTAGCCCAGAGCATTCATTTACAGGACTCTACCACGCCTGCTTCCAAAAATGATCTTAAGTAACTTACAGTAAAAGACAGGGGCATTAAGGCGTTAATACCAGAGGATGGAGGGTCTTCCTTTCCACTGGTGGCTCCTCTAGCCAGAGGGCTCTAAGGGGCGGATGCTATTGCTGCTTTTCCAGGGCACAGGGCAGTCAGGACGGAGCCTTAGCACACACCAGCTGGAGGCCGGCGTCCCTGCGCTTGGAAGTGGGTTCCCTGGCCACCGGGGTTGACCTCTCTCGCTAGCAGGGCCCACCCAGCTCACTCCCCGCGTCTTCCATCCCCTCTAGGATTCCCATTGTCCCCTACTCCAGCACTAGGCAGGCACCCCCAGCCCACTGCGACTCCCACCACGAAGGACCCCAGCCCTCTCTCAGCCAACACGGCCCCGCCCACCGTCTCAGACATCGTGCTTCTTCTGGTGGGCCAGGAGTCTCTCCTCGTCGTCGAAGGTCTGGCCACAGATGGCACAGCAGAAGGCGCCGTCCCGGATGTGGCTCTTGCGGTGGGTGATGAGGTTGGACTTCTGGCTGAAGCTGCGGTCGCAGTCGGGACAGGCGTAGGGCCGCTCGCCCGTGTGGATGCGCCGGTGCGACACCAGGTTGGACTTCTGGCTGAAGGCTTTGCCGCAGTCGGGGCAGACGTAGGGCTTCTCGCCGGTGTGGATGCGCCGGTGCGCCGCCAGGTAGGGTTTGTGGCGGAAGGCCTTGCCGCAGTCGGGACACACGAAGGGCCGATCGGGGGCGTGGTCGCGCCGATGCGCCGCCAGATGGCTGCCCTGGGAGAAGCGGCGGCCGCACTCCTCGCAGGCGAAGGGCCGCTCGCCGGAGTGCACGCGCGAGTGCGCCACCAGGTGCGTCTTCTTGCCGAAGTTCTTCCCGCACTCGGCGCAGGTGAAGGGCCGCTCCCCGGTGTGCTGCCGCTGGTGGGCCCGCAGGAAGCGCTCCAGCCGGAAGCTCCTGCCGCAGTCGTCGCAGCTGTAGAGGGAGGGGGGGGCTTCGATCGGGTCCTGCGGGTGCTCTGGCGGGGCCCCTGGCGGCGGCTCCTGGGCCGGTTTCAGAGGTACCGCCGGGGTGGGCTCGGCCGCGGACTCCTGGGGGCCGGCTGGCAGCTGGGGGCTCCCCGGGCCGGGGGCGGCCTGGGCCGACCCCTCGGATCGCTTGTGAATCTTGCTGTGAGACAGCAGGTTGGGTTTGTGCCGGAAGCGGCGGCCGCACTCTTTGCACGGGTAGGGCTTCTCGCCGGTGTGGATGCGCCGGTGCGAAGTCAGATAGGGCTTATTGGTAAAGCGCTTCCCGCACTCGGGGCACTGGTGGGGCCGCTCGCCCGTGTGCACGCGGCGGTGAGCGATCAAGTTGGGCTTGTGCCGGAAGCGCTTGCCACAACAGGCACACTGGAAGGGGCGGTCGACGGCATCTCCACCGGGCCGGGGGGCGGTCACCGCGGGGCGGCCCCTGGGCCGGGGCCCCAGAGCCTTGGCTGCGGCCTCCTCCAGGGCCTCAGCTACGTGCACCCGCTTGTGGGCAACTAGCTGGTCCCACTGGGCAAAGCTCCGGCCACAGTTGCCGCATATGAAGGGCCGGGCCTCCGGGGCGGGAGGGTGGCACCGCCGCAGATGAGCTCGAAGCTGCTTTCGTCGCCAGAAGCGTCTCTCGCATTTGGGACAAGCGATGGGCCGCTTTGCAGCTGAATGGGCCCGCAGATGCAGAACCAGGGCCACCCAGCCTCGGAAGCTCTGCCCACAGAGGTGGCAGGCAAAGCCCAGGTCTGGGGTGGCAGCAGCATGGACCTGGCGGTGCAGTGCTAAGAAGGGGGCATGGCGAAAGCGACGGCCACACTCAGGGCAGGGCAAGGGCAGCCGGGCCTGGCACCGGCGGGTGTGAAGCCACAGAGCCACCCAGCCAGGGAAGTGCCTTCGACAGTGGGCACAGCGATGGGCCCTGCCTGGGGCTTGGGCACCAGACTGGGCCACTGACGTGCCTTGTTGCCTCAGCCCGCGGGACTCCTTCCCCAGGGTCTGGGGTGACTCCTGGGAGGGCCCAGAAAGGAGTCGGGGCTGGGCCAGGCCCATGGCCAGGGGGCCCCTGCAACGACGTTCCAGCATCGGTTCTTCCTCTGCTGAGGGTGGAAAAGCACAGTCACTCCAGAGACCAACTCACTCTGCCCCTGTTTCTCCCCTCCCAACCTCAGCCCCGGACAGGAGCTGCCATCTATGAACCCCTAGAGCCCCGGACATGGAGCTAGACTACTCTCCTGTTTCCTTGTGTGGTATGTATTATTTCAATCTTGGGTTTTTAGATAACATTTCAAGGATGTTTGTCTTATGTCTTTGTTGCCCTGGAAACTTCCAGAAGGGAGGGACTCTGATACTAGAATCCCCCTCATGGCAGCTACCCCAGTGTCAGACAGGGAGTAAATGCTCCAGTGCTGAATGCACAAACATTCCTGCCACAGGACTCACCAGAAAATGTGGCCACTGCTCCCTACAGTGCCTTATGCTGCCCTCTCCCTGTGTCTGCTGTTTCCTATGCCACATCCGAGCTGCACAGCAACTCTGAGAAGCTGGACAAACAGACACTGAGCTCCCTGTTTAACAGATGAAGCAACTGTGAGACATCAAAGATGACGAGACCTGCCCAAGGTGACACAGTAAGCCAACAGCAGAATCAAGACTAGGGAACAGGTCTTTAAACTCCCAGGCCAGTGTTCTTTCCTCTAAAGCGCCTGGGTTTGCAAAGATCTCAGAGAAAAAGGTGTCTATAGCTTTTCATTCCTAGCCCCACAGGGGAGGCACTTTCAGCATCACTAACTGCAGTCTCCGTAGGAGGCTGGAGGACAAGTGAGAACAGCCCTTCTCGGGGAACAGGAGCAGAGCCCTGGGTGCTACTCCCGGCAGTCTAACGCCAGACCACCGCCTGCCCAGACTGTGCCCCCATTCTGCCCGCCTGCCCTCTTCCACCCACACAAATTAGGACATTGCAGGAAGGAAGGCTCTCCCTGAATCCAAGGAACACCCACAGCCTGCTGCCCTCGGGGCCTGATCACCGGCTCTGCCTCCCTCGGGGTGCTGGAGATTACTGGGGCAATAGAAGGGGAGGGAAGATGAGACTGCAATCTCAGTCCCCTGCCCGGTCCTGCCCCAACCTCGCCAGGGGCTGCCCCATGTTCAGCTCTTCCACAGCTCAGGGGAGCCCAGATTCCTGCACAGGAGCCTCCTCCGCGGAAGGAGGAAGGAAGCAGTTAGGCTCCTAAGGGCCCTTCTGTGCCTGCTCACAAGCTCCAGACACATCCTTCTAAATTCCCTAGAGCGCACTCTCTCTTCTCAGGGAACACAAAGGTCACTCATTCCCAGTGTCAGACTGTGCACAGGGAAGACCCCAGGATATGAGAAAGGGCCATTTCCTTCCGCCGGGATGGGGACGCCCGTGCACCCCTGTTGTGGCGTGGTTTGGGAGCACAGCAAAGGCCAGACTCTACCCTGGAGACTGCAGAGCTGGGGATGAGGCTTTTTCCAGCTCCTCTTGGGGATGTTCCTGGGGATACTTCCGCGGCTGCAGCGCCTGCTTCGGCCCACACTCCGGTAGCCCCCAGGTGTTAGAGAAAACTGCAGTAATAAAGACACCCCTATCCCCATGGCAGAGCTCAGACCTCTGACTGCAGAGAGGCCAGCCTTACCTGTGGGGAGGGAAGAGAAAACAGAAGTGAGGCTCTGAGCTCCTCTAGGGCAGTCAGCTTTGTGTCCTCACCAGCCACAACCCCTCCCCCCACAAAGCCACACGCACCAGCCATAAGCCCCACATCCTGCCTGGCAGAGTGACCTTAATGGACATTGGATTAATAAATGAATGTGCCCCTTCAACAAGGAAGCACACTGCTGTCTTTCGGGGTCACTTTCTTCCCTGGTAAGGTCACGGAACGAATTCTCCATTCTGTGGCCAGAGTCTGGGCTTTCCCTGATGGCCAAAGGCCGGCCTATGGCAGGAACTCTGGAATCCCTGCTGGCTCCCCTTCCCCCAGCCTCCTCCCGACAGGAATTCCAGGCCTATTTCCCATGGGGCTGCGCAGGGCCAGCTGGTGTGACCACGACTCCGTCAGAATCCCCTTCCGCATCGCGGCTGGCCGCGGGTGGCAGAAGCCCCACACCGCCCTTTTGTACTGATGCGTGTCCTCCGTCCACGCTCCCGGGCACACGGGTCCCGTTCTTGCGAGTGAGCCATTTCGGGTCCCACGCACGGCGCAGCTCGCGGAGCCTGTGCGCAGGTGCGCTCCCCCACCCCCGCAGATCCAGCAGCGTCCCCCCCCGCGCACTCACACACGGTCGCGCACACTCACGGTCACGCGCCCCGCAGGTGGAGCGGCCCCCCGCGGGCCCGCGGTGGCCCCGCGCCCCTGCCCCGGCCGTACCTCTGCGGCGGGCTGTGCAGGGACGCGGCGCCCGTCCATGGAGCCCGAAGGCCGGCCTCCGCGGCCCACTCTCGCTCCCCGCCCCGCCGCGGCGACAGCGGCAGGTTCGAGTTCACAACTGCCAGGCCCGTCCCCAACCTCCCCCCGCCGGGTTCCCAGCGCCACGTGACTACAGGAGCTGCCGAGGGTCAGTCGCCGGCTCCCGCGGCCGCGGCCTGGGGGCGGGGAGGGACTGCCGGGGCCGGGGCGCGGGCGCCCCCGCCAAGAGCGGGCCGGGTCACTCAAGCCACTGCCGCGCCAGGGCGGCAGGCCTCGGAGGGTCGGACTCCGTTGCCATGGCGACCACCAGCCCGGGTTTCTCTGGGACTGGCCGGAGCTCAAGTTTCCCGACCCTTTGTCCCTGCGGAGCACGCGCGTCCCCGGGCGACCGCGTGGCTGGCCTATGGTCACCGGGGTGTTCGGCCTTAGCTGCCTTATGAGAGGCTGGGAGCCCGTCGGGAGACTTCAAAGAGGGCTCCGGCAAGCCCCCGGAGCGTCGTTGCCCGGGCCTTTCTCAGGCCGCGCACCCCGGCCGCAGTGCGGACGCTTGCGGCCGCGGCGGTCCCGGGACGGCGGTGGCGCACCTGGAAGGCCCTAGCTTCCGATTTGTTCCAAAGTGGAGCACAAAAAGGCCCGATCCTGCGAACTTTGAAAAGGCCTCTCTTCACTCTTTTCTAGAAATTAAGAAAGAGCAGAAGTTGCTGGGCTTCCTCTGGCTGCGGGCCAAGCGTGGGGCGACGGCCGAGGTGGCCGTTGGCGCACGTGGGGCATTTCGCTTGGAAAGGCTCAGCAGCCTGTGTGGCGTCTGCGGTGGCAGGTGCGAGCCTGTGCCCATGACTCACCCACTAGCAGGTGGCCCTGGCTTTCCAAACTAAACACTTCCTGGGGTTTCCAGGGTAGTACAATTTCATGTACTTTCATGCTTTTCAACACAGGCAATTTTTGAATTGTATAATTAGTCGTAAAAATACTTTTTAAATCTATTGCATAAATAGGAAATAGGGGAACATAAAACTCAGTTTTACCTCGTAGAGTCAATTACATTTAATATTTTGGTATGTTGCCTCCGGTGTTTTCTCTACGTATATCCATGGCATGTCTGGCATAATTGGAATAATGCCTTGCGAAGATGTATTCTGCCTTCTTCACTTAACACGATCTTGTGAATTTTCTTCCATTTTATTAGATATTCTTTTAAACATGATTATTTATGGCTGTATAAAAGGAATATATTTTTTAAATGTTTTCTAAATTATCTTCCAGGAAAACGTATTAGTTTTCCCTGAGAAATGCCCATTTTCCATATACTTGACAACACAGACTTTTTTAAAAAAAAAATTTAGTTTGAAATGGTTATTTCTCATCTTTTGTACTTGCATTTCTTAGAGTACTAGTTAGCTGGATTGTTTTTTCACATGGTTATTTTTTGCCA